>NC_000012.12:74278309-74429824 GCF_000001405.40 Homo sapiens | reverse complement strand
TATAAGGTGTTATTTGAATATGTTAAGTATCTGACTAAAGACACATGAGCATTTTATTCTGATGTATGACAGTAATTACTCCTCAAGGGCTAAAGTTTTTCAGTGTCTTGACAACTTAATGTGACATGTTCATATGCTTTAATCTTTTAAACATATAACTCACTTGATGCTTTAAAAACTGAAAATTAAAAAAAAATCACAAATATATTTCAGTAGCTACAATAGCATTTTCTTCAGGTCATCACTATGAAATGGCAGATAGTCTTTATCAACAAAACAAAATCTAGCAAGAGAAAGCAAAGTGAGAATGAAAGATCTTTGTTGTAAAACACACGAGAAAACAAGCTCCATCGTTCACGTGCTCAGGAAGGTCCCAAAATAAGTCAAGTGGCCATGCTAATTAAAAACCAACAACAATATAAACAAGTAGTAGTAGGTTTGTTTTTTTTTGTTTTGGTTTTTTTCTTTTTTGAGACAGAGTCCTGCTCTGTCACCCAGGCTGGAGTGCAGTGGCGCGATCTTGGCTCCCTGCAAGCTTCACCTCCCGAGTTCACGCCATTCTCCTGCCTCAGCCTCCCGAGTAGCTGGGGCTACAGGCACCTGCCACCACGCCCGGCTAATTTTTTGTATTTTTAGCAGAGACAGGGTTTCACTGTGTTAGTCAGGATGGTCTGGATCTCCTGACCTCGTGATCCGCCCACCTCGGCCTCCCAAAGTGCTGGGATTACAGGCGTGAGCCACCGTGCCAGCCAAGTAGTAGTAGTTTTAAGAGAAGCAGAAGATAGTCTTTTTTTCCCCAGTTGTTTCAGTTAAATAAGGGGTACTGAGCACTTACTGTGATCCAACAAATGACTGGGATAAGCTTTGAAGATTCAAACAATGACGTTCAAAACCAAAAATTCTCAGCAAGACTGTGGTAATGGGGGAATGGTAAGAACAAGCTGGATATGAAGGTTTTCATTACCGTTAGTCATTTCATAGGAAAACTTAAATAACTTGAGCAGCAACTGTTCGGGAAGAAGGTGTTTTTGGTTACTTGTGAGGAGATCTCATATAAATTTAATACACAAGTAAATGTAACCATGATTTTAAAGAACTGTCACACAATATTTTCTGAAGACCATAAAAAGCCAACTAGAGGTAGGTAACATCCTTATTCCATCTGTGTTGCTATAAAGGAATACCTAAAGCTGGGTAATTTATAAATAGAAGGTTTATTTGGTATCACATTGTGGTTTTGATTTGCATTTCTCTAATGATCAGTGATGATGAGTTTTTTTTCATGTTTATTAGCCATATAAATGTCTTCTTTTGAGAAGGGTCTGTTTATATCCTTTGTCTACTTTTTGATGGATTTTTTTTTTGTAAATTTGTTTAAGTTCCTTGTAGATTCTGGATATTAGCCCCTTGTCAGATGGGTAGATTGCAAAATTTTTCTCCCAATCTGTGGGATGCCTGTTTACTCCAATGCTAGTTTCTTTTGCTGGGCAGAAGCTCTTTAGTTTAATCAGATCCCATTTGTCAATTTTGGCTTTTGCTGAAATTGCTTTTGATGTCTTAGTCATGAAGTCTTTGCCCATGACTGTGTCCTGTCAGAATGGCGATTATTAAAAAGTCAGGAAACAATGGATGCTGTTGTGGATGTGGAGAAATAGGAACAATTTTACACTTTTGATGAGAGTGTAAATTAGTTCATCCAATGTGGAAGACAGTGTGGTGATTCCTCAAGGATCTAGAACCAAGAATACCATTTGACTAGCAATCCCATTACTGGGTGTATCCCCAAAGGATTATGAATCATTCTACTATAAAGACACATGCAATAAGTAGTGCTTATTGCAGCACTATTAACAATGGCAAAGACTTGGAGACAACCCAAAAGCTCATCAAAGATAGACTGGATAAAGAACATGTGTCACATGTACACCATGGAACACTATGCAGCCATAAAAAAGAATGAGATCATGTCCTTTGCAGGGACATGGATGAAGCTGGAAGCCATCATTCTCAGCAAACTAACACAGGAACAGAAAACCGAACCCTGCATATTCTCACTCATAAGCGGAGTTGAACAATGAGAACACATGGACACAGGGAGGGGAGCATCACATGCAGTGGCCTGTAGAGGGGTAGGGGGAAAGGGGAGGGAGAGCATTAGGACAAATACCTAATGCATGCAGAATTTAAAACCCAGATGACGGGTTGATAGGTGCAGCAAACCACCATGCCACATGTGTACCTACATAACAAACCTGCACATTCTGCACATGTATCCCGGAACTTAAAGTAAAATTAAAATTAAAATTAAAAAAAAAGATTTATTTGGCTCAGTGTTCTGCAGTCTGTACAAAAAGCATGGCTCCAGCACCTGCTTCTGGTGAAGGCCACAGGCTGCTTCCACTCATGGTGGAAGGTGAAGGGGAGCCAGCTTTTGCAGGGATCACATGGCAAGAGAGCAGGGCAAGAGGGGAGGGAGGTACCAAACTCTGTTAAACAACCAGGTATCGCTGGAACTAACAGAGCAAGAACTCACTCATTGCTGTGAGGGCGGCAACAGGCCATTCATGAGGGATCCACTCCTATGATCTAAACACCTCTCATTAGGCCCTACCTCCCAACACTGGGGATCAAATTTCAACATGAGATTTGAAGGGGTCAAACATATTAATACATAAATTATATAATTTGAGAGATGAAGACCATGTATCAATGCTGACAATCATGTCCTGCAAAGTGAGAATTTCTGCTGCTAGTTATTTAGTCTTCTAGTCCTTTTTTGTTTTTGAAGCAAATCCTTATTTCAGGAATAAAATGACCTCTATGATGTTGACCTGTAGAAGCTAAAATACTAGAAAATAAAGTTATTAATAAAACGAAGCAGTGTCCCAGAATGGAAAGGGAGAGAAAAAGGGATACTAAAATTAAACTTTTCTGAGCCTTCTGAGAAGAGTGATAAGACTCTTCATCTGCATGACATTTTGTGCATGTATTATTTTAATCATACATAAAATGTATGTTATTACATATATTACATTGATTCTTGGCAAAAGTCAATTAAGTCATATGTCATATCTTTCATGTTTTGGTTTTTAGATTATATTTTTGACCAAAGTGAATTGTTAAATATTTTGGCAATTAAAAATGCCACTTTTCTTATTTATTTATAGAAATATGATATATGAAATCACACAGGATAGGATTAATAAGAGATTAAGCTTGACTTGATCAATTACTTCAATCTGGGTCTTTGATAATTTACTCAACAGTGAAGATACTAACATTCATACTATATCATTCAATTTAATAATGTACTTGAAAGCATTTTGACATTATTTTGGCAGATTCATGGCAGGCATGTTAATATATTAACATATTATATTATCTGGATTTTCTTTTACATAATAGTTCATTATGGTTTCTCTGTTAGTGATTCTTCCTTCTTTGCTGACATGACAACAGAGACACAGCTTTCTTCCACATAATTATGAAGGAAGAGCTTTATGTCTATAAATACAAACTTAGCTAAAACCACATATGATCAGATGAGTAAAACCCCCTATGACACAGCATACTTTGGAGTCTTGGACAATTGCATATATTCAGAGGTTTTATTGATAGCAATTTTTCAAGTTATCTCTACCATGAATTTATTTATAAAAGATAAGTTCCTTATCCATTGAAGACAAGGAACCTATTGTGTACTCTATTTATAGTCCCAGCATTGTCTAGTGTTTATTTAAGCATATTGTTATCAGTTAATACTTGATTTACTAAGATGATAGAGTATTTGAGTAACAATAGGAGACATGCTGGGACTTGTAAGAAAACAAATAAATTACACACCAAGGCATATACAAGAATTATTTAACATGTACCAGTTGGAGCCAGAAAAGTACTCCTCAGATTAATATTTTGAGGGTACTTGATCCGAACATAAAATTGGATAAGCATGAATTCAATGAATTATGGGCACTTTTTTAGGACATAGGATTTAACCACCTATCAAGAATCCTAGTAATTGGGAACAAACTTACTCTTAGGATGAGGGTAATGGCTTGTTCAGAATGAAGTGAGAATGGCCGAATCACCCTGGTACCTGGTAGACTAAAGCCACACCAAAAAAAAAAAAAAAAAAAGTGCTGGAATAGATTGTATGCCATTCATGAAGGCCTTCAGGAATCTGCTGCTGAGATGGGCTTATGCAGTATGAGAAAATTCAGTGGTGTCTCTTTTCTACAGGACATGGCTGATACAGTAGGTTCGGCTGATACAGAATTGGACTTAACATCCTTGAGGATTGATTGATCCCAGAGTATGGAAGCCAGGTGGCAGTGCTTAATCACAATGAGGCAGGGAATCACAAATACCTTGAGCATCAGCAAGGTCGGAGAAACAGTCAAGGGGGCTTCACCAGCAATGAGTTGTGTAGATTGTTAGCAGAGAATGGCAGACTAGGGCAAAACAGACGGGTAGCCAGTAATGGTCCCAAGTAATGTCTATGACCTGAAAAAAAGAATGGAGGAACAGGAACCTGAAAGTGGTCCTCCTAATGAAAGGTCACAATATCCTGCTCAGTTCCTGAACCTGAGACACTATTCAGTTCCAGAACCCATTGAGAGAAGGGCCCTGAAACATTGTAATAAATATAAATTGTAATTATTCCCTGGCCTTCCCTGAAAGGATAGCTATTTATTCAGGTGATTTTTCACTGGGAAAAGCAGAATACACAGACATTTCAAAAACTGACAGATACAGAATCTGAACTGATGCTTATATATGGAGATCCAAAGGATCATAATGGCCCTTTGTTAGAGTGGGAGCTGACAGGGCCAGATAATAGACAGATCCTGGCTAAAGTCCAAGCAGGCTTATGTGCATTTTCTAGATATGTGGACCCACTCGGTGGACATTCCCCTAATCTCTGAGTGTATCATTGGAATTGACATGCCTGGAAGTTGGAGTAACTCCACTTTGATTACTTGTCCTGTGAGGTAGGAACTTTCAAAGTGAAGCAGGACTGAAAGAAGTGTCTGAAACTGCTCCTTTCCCGTGCATGTTAAGATAGTAAATAAAAAGCATCTAGCACCCAGATCTTGGTTTGTAATATCATTCCCCAGTTAAAGGAATTAGGGCTCCTTGGAGACATGGCTGATCCTAGAAAGAGCGTTCAGTTGCCAAAGCTGGAAAATTTAAGTAGTACTGGATTGTAATTAAAAGTATAAAATAAATATTTGAGTTCATGCTTATATTAAGAAATTATTGGATAAATACCTGATAGAGTCATGGAATTCCAACTAATTTGCGAAGATTCTCCACCTTTAAGGAGATACAGCCTAACTTCCTACTCCTTATGTGTAGGGTGCACATTTTGATTTTTCTCCAATGAGTATAGTGTGGAAGGGGTTGGAAAATAACTTTATAGTGGAGAACTTAATAAACATTATCTCAGCCAGGTGATTGATGTTAACATCAGCAGTGATAAATTATGTTAATAGTATCTGCTCTTGCTATGATGTGCTGAGAATGACACTTCTGTGGTCTTTCTCTCCAAAACTCATAATCCCAGTCTAATCATGAAAAAAGCATCACATGTATCCAAACTGAGGAATATTCTACAAAATACCTAACCAGTACTCAACACTGTGGAGGTCATTAAAAACAGAGAAAATTCTGAGAGTGTCACAGCCAACAGGAGCCTAAGTAGACATCATGACTAAATGCAATATGCTGTCCTGAAACAGAAAAAGGACACTAGGTTAAACTTAAAAAAAGTGAATAAAGTGTGAACGTTAGTTAATAATAATGTGTCAATAGTAGTTCATTAATGTTTTTTAAAATAAGATGTTATTAATAGGTCGAAATCTGTGTGAATTTTATGGGAAGTCCCTCTATGACCTTTGTAACTTTTCTATAAATATAAATCTATCCTAAAATTTTAAAAGTTCATTATACATCAAAAGAAAACAAAACAATATCATATTCATGAGCATAGCTGGGAAATGGTGGAGATTCTTTTCACCGTTAAAGACTTAAACATTGCAGGGGGTAGTAGGGACTAATGTTTCTCTATTATAATTCATTGTTCTGGCCCCTGCAGAAATAATAGATCCTGGATAATGACTGTAAATGATCATGAATTCAAAAAGGTGTTATTCCTATTAAAGCTGCTGTGCCAGGTGGGGTTTATTGTGAGAGCATATTATTATGGCAGCAAATAAGTGGTATTCATCCATTGATTTGGCAAATGTGTTCTTTTCTATTCCAACCAGAAGGGAGGATTAGAAACAGATTCATGTTCACATAGAATAGACAACAATATTTACAGTTTTTTAAAAAAGATTGTATTAGCAGTCCTGCTTTCTGTAATAAAATCAAGTAATGATACAAGGACCAACTGGGAATTCCACAGAATATCACATTGATTCATTTCACTGACGATATACTAATTGGACAGTACAAGTGAGAAGTGGCTAATAGACTGGTGACTTTGGTAAGACACATATTTTCCAATGTGTGGAAGGTAAAACCTATGATTCAGGAACCTTACTAGACATTTTTAGGACTCCAGTGAGCAAGGGTGTATGAGAATAACCCCTTCAAAGAAAAAAGCAAGTTGCTGCATCTGTATTCTTTACAATTAAATTAAAAGGAAGAATCACTTTCCATAAGCCTCACTGGGTTTTGGAGGCAACACATTTTACACTTAAGAATACAGCTCTGGGCTGGGCAAGGTGGTTCACACCTGTAATCCCAGCACTTTGGGAGGCCAAGTTGGGCAGATCACCTGAGGTCAGTAGTTCAAGACCAGCCTGGCCAACATGGCGAAACCCCGCCTCTACTAAAAATACAAAAATTAGCTAGGTGTGGTGGTGGGCATCTGTAATCCCAGCTACTCGAGAGGCTAATGCAGGAGAATCACTTGAACCCGGGCAGTGGAAGTTGCAGTGAGCCAAGATTGCACCAGTGCACTCTGGATCCTGGGCAACAGAGCGAGACTCTGTCTCAAAAAAAAAAAAAAAAAGAAAAAGAAAAAGAATATAGCTCTTACCTATGACTCATATATTGCATAACTCTAAAAGCTACCACTTTTAAGTCTTAAATAATAAAGGGCTCTATCACACGTTTAGGCTGTAGTGCCAACAGCCATGTTTCTTGGCTATATGAACGACTCTAGAATATTGGAGGAAAACATTGCAGTGCAGAGATAATGCGAGCTCCAACGGAAGAATTGTAACACAGCTTCCTGGGTTTCTGAGGTGAGACTAGTGATAGCACAGAGTTAAGGTAAATTAGAATGGCTGTTGGATAACAGAAAGGATGAATATTAGCTGCATTCCCAAGACCAACTGGAAGTGACAGAGGTTATAGTTTATCTTTCTAACATCTCTGCTCTACGTTCTCTATAAGGAAGAAAGTCCAATGGGCCAATGGAGAAAAGGCCTTCTGAACCTAAAAGGAAAAGTAGGTCTCTGTAGTGTCACCTATCAGATCTCGTTCAAGAGAATTGACTGCTGCAGACATAGTTGACTGACAGCCCAGCTCTCGATTCTTTTATCCATCATTGTGCTAAAACAGGCCACATATATTCTGGGCTGCAGCCAGCCAGTTACAAAGCATGGCAGTTTATTAGTGCTCCTTCTTGCCCTGTGAAAAATTTTTCTAATGGGAAACTTGTGCTCTGGGATTCCTCAGCAGCCTGGCCAAGACTTTCTTAGAACTTTGCTGCAATTTAAGGGCCTTTCTACCCAATTGTTTCTTTCCTCTCTCTCCTTTTACAAAGGCAGACCTATATTGTTGTCTGAAGGGTCTTCTCACCTATTCTTGCTCCCTCGACTTTTATCTTTCATAAGGAGTTATCTCGAATAAATTTCCTGTACATCAAGTCCCATATTGGCCTCTGTTTCTTGGGGGATACAAACTGACAGAGAGGTCATCAGGCCGTCCTATGTGCTACTTCTTTTTATTCTAATTTTTCATTTACCATGGGATATTAAAATGGGTTTGTTTCCCCAGTAGACTAAGAACTCTTGGACTGTCTGGTAAACTGAAAATGGATCTAACACACCATCAAATCTATACTAGATGAGTAATACATATATGTTAGCTGAATAGAAATTTTATTAAATTTATGTGCTCCTAACATGGTATACATATATCAAATTTATCATTGCTGTAGTGTGTTGTGATTATTGATAAACCTCTCTCCAATGACCACTATTAAGCTGTAAACCATTTAGGGTAAAGATTTTCTCATTCCTCTTTGTGTTCCTGACACACAGTAATGGCTAAATAAGTGGTAAAAGTGATAATTGTTATTTCAAATATTAATGGCTCATATAAAATAATAAAAGATGTACTACATTAATGAAAAGCAGTCATTATTTCATAAATCATTTTATGAGTATGCCAAACATCATAAGGGTATGCCAAATATCCAAAGAAAGAATTAAGACCCACTTACGTCGCATCTACTGACAGTTTAGGAAAAATTCACAAGAAGATGAAAAGCAAGCATTTCTAACTGATTGAAATAAGAATGAAAGTACAATGGTGGTTCTTAGTATGTGGCCTCACTGGATTCCCTAGAGGGTTGCCTTACATAAAGAAAATCATTTCTTTATTGATTCAATTCATTCTTCATAACCATATTGAGCATTTCCCAAATGTCAACCACTGAATTGGATATCACATTTTCTTATATTAGAATATAATTGTTTATAACGGACCATGTTTAAACATTTATTTGTTTATTGATATGTCTTGTTATATATTATGTATTGATACTTCTCAATAATTATTTATTAACACTTATTGATACTTAATTTAATAAGACATGATCTCATATTAAAAATAGAAATTAAATCCATAACACTTTACATATTGATCATTATTCTCTCTTGCTCTTTCTCCTTCTCCATTGTTTTCTCTTTTCACACTAAAAAATAAAAGCAAACAAAAAAGAAACAATAACAAAACAAAGCAAGAAATAGGAAGATCATAACGTCTCCCTTAAATAAAATGATAAAATACTTTGTTTGATTTTTTCCAACAAATTATCATGTCATTGCTCCCTTTTTTTTTTTTTTTTTTTTTTTGAGATGGAATCTCACTCTGTTGCCAGGCTGGAATGCAGTGGCACGATCTTGGCTTGTTGCAACCTCTGCCTCCCAGGTTCTTGGCTCATTGCAACCTCTGCCTCCTGGGTTCAAGCAATTCTCCTGCCTCAGCCTCCCAAGTAGCTGGGACTACAGGCACACACCACCACACCCAGTTAATTTTTGTATTTTTAGTAGACATTGCTCTCTTTACTGTCACAATTAAATGTTCTACCTTACTGGCTTTAACTTCTCATATTTCCCTACTGATGAACTATGTATGGGTTGGGTAGCCATTATTCCACTGAAAGTATTCTTCCAAAGATAAAAATAGCTGCCCATATCATTTCCAATGGGTGTTAATCTCCCACCATAAGAATCTGTGACACACGGATGCATGATCTATGAAGTGAGAGATGGGAACAACAATGGAACGAAAAAGATCACAAAGTGAAGTAAACATTTTGAGGATAAAATGAGTCAAGTTAAAAAAGCTAGTAAATGATTAAATGAAAGGTGACCCTAGAAGCTAAATGCAAACATCAGTGTGGTGATCCCAATTCAGTTCTCGTTAGCCATCAACTTAAACAATAAATAAAAACATTTTTCAAAGAATCATCTCTGTAAGCAGGGTATACCTGAAGCAGGTAGTATAGTATAGAAACTGTGGAAGTACCAGGGGTTATTCAACTACCAACCTTTCATTACCTAGATTGAAAAGTTTCTCAGCTTTGCCGCTCTTGTCATGATCATCACCCCAGCTTAAGGTCCATATCTCCTACTTGTTTGACATAATTCATTGCCTTCCTAACCAGCCTCTTTGCTTCCAGATTTTTCTTCATTTAATACATTTTCAACAATTCTATACAAGCTAACTTTCTAAATCTGATATGCTACTCCTCTCAAAAATATTCAGTGGCGTTTCCCTTCATGGGGGTAGAAACATAAAACCTAATTCCTTAACATGGTATTCAAGATTTTGGTAATTCTTTTTCAGTCTGCATTTTCATCTTGATCTCAGGTCATGTTCTTCAACATCTTGACATGTTGAGCTTCCTGTTTCTTCCCAAATTCTCATTCATTACTTCTCACTTTTGCTTAATCTATTCCATCTATCTGAACTATCCTTCTTTTACTCTGTAGCAGCTAGAATGTAGCTCCTCAGTGAAGATTATCCAGAATGAATGCCACTGAGTGTAACTAATTGCAATCAGATTTAATGTACTCTAGTTACACAAGTACTGGGGAACATACTCAGTACCTCAGGAGATGGTTCACATCCTAGAGTAAATGCTTATTTGAATCCCATTGGCTTGTTCAATGCCTGCTACAGAATAAGCTATCAACAAATATGTATTGAATATTATTGATTTGCGAGGTCTTTGTCTCATGACATTGTCCATGAGTTTCCATATTTGATCATAGGATTAATACATGTGTAGCTCTGGTTTTGTGAAACTCAAGCTGAAGATTGGGTCATAGGACTGGTTGGACCCACTAAAGAGGCCACATCATTCTGTGATGCAGGCTAAAATTTAAATGAGGTCTCCGGGGCTGAATCTGGTGGAGGACAGGGTAAGGAAGGGCATTGTCATATCAGACTCTGAAAGGTTTTCGAACATCTATGTTTTTCTATTTGTACAAAGATATTGACACAAATGTGCCATGCTTGGGAATTATGAAGGCATTAAGCCCAAAAAGGGATCAACACTGAGAATCTTGGAATCAGACAAAGCAGGGAATGGGATCCAAAATGAGGATTTTAGTCAACATTGATAGTGGAAGTGAAAGGAGTGTCTTTGTATAAGCAAAGAAAAGATGTTCATTCCTCTAAATTCAAAAGGATCTAGTAAAAAAACAAATGTTTTAACCCCATCAGTCCAATATTCCCCACCATAGCTCTGCGTGTCTTGCTCTCTGTTGAAATTTCTTATGGGAGTCATAATAAATTCTGATGACTCACACAGAATAAAAACAAAGAAAACATTTTATACACTTGCAGTAAGAGTTTCCTTACTCTCCTCCTACCAGAGAAAGCAATCATTTCAAAAAAATTTAAATAATTAAAATGATTCTTTGAATGATTTGTATTGCCTTTTTAAAAAAACACAAGCCAAGTTTTTCTTATATATGAAAGAAGAGGTAAATGAACACAGAATAAACTCGTAATTTTAGAGCAGAGAGCAAGTTTAGGAAAAGTAAGTTTAATCCTTTCATTTTACAGATGATAAATTTTGCTAGCTAGGAAAAATGTTTCTCTACTACACACCTAGTGTCAGAAATAGGTCTTGAGCCCATGACTCTTGTTCTGTTTTTGTTACATAATTGCATCAAACATTCTAATCTAAGGTAGGGGTTGGCAAACTGTAGTCCATCAGCCAAATCTGGCTTGCCACATGTTTTGGTGATGTTTATTGGAACACAGCTATGCTTATTTGTTTGCATACTGCCTATGAGTACTTTCATGAGACAATGGCAGCGTTAAGCAGTTGCTACAGAGCCCATATGGCCCTTACAACATAAAATATTTCCTATCTGGCTCTTTACAGTGAAAGCTTGCCAACCTCAGGTATAAACCACAGGTATCTCTTATAGTCTTTCCTCAGTAGTCTATTAATTTATTTTTCTTGCAACTACCCACTTTCCAGCACCATCCACATTTTCCTAACAGAATGCATGCCATGAAAAGGAGGAGACAAAAAACTTCACCTTCCAGAAAAGATTGCTCAGCTTATATCTCACATTATTCAATTTTTATTGAAAAAAATAAATTTTCTAAAGTAAATTGCTTTTAAGACCTTTCCAGAAGCCACTAAGAAAACACAACATACTGTCTTAGTTGGATAATGGTTAACATTGTAGACATCATTGTGATTGATGCTGGTGTACACAAGCAGTACCAAAAACAATTGGTAATGTGGAGTTTGTTGCAGAGACTGGCTTCAAAGCTTTGGTAAAGGATCTGTAAGCTAAGGCAGACATCTTCAATATTATATACTTTTGTGTTGATTTCTGATTACCTTTGTGATCACACTTTGCAAGCACAATTATCTTTGAAATTTTGTCTGAGAGTTCTCTGCTGAAGATCTTTTCACCATCTGAGTTGATAATGGTGACCACACTGGCTGGACCACCAAAATTATACTGCCAGTGAAAAATAAATAAACAATATTTACATGGGTACTCTCAAAGAATAAAGTAACCCTGATAGTTAACTGATTATCCTGCATCTGTAGAAGAAATGAGAGAGTAAAATGAATGATAATTATCACATAGGAAAAAATGTGAGACTTAATAAAATAAGTTAGCTTCGCAGCTTATAGAGATAAAGATGAAGGTGTTAAGTCAAGGAAAAATAACATGGAAAATAATAAGCAGAAATAGATGATAAAAGGAACTGAGAAATATAATGTTCATTTGAACCTTACACTCTGACGACATAGACATGAAGAAAATGGCAAATTCAGCTGTAGCCTCACATGAGTGGAAAGACAACTTGATGTTCTGTATTGCTAAATGGGGTTCCGTTGTCGTTGAGGATGTTGGTATTGATCCCCTGATTGACTCCCTTTGAAGCTACTGAGGATAAGCAGAATAGCAACCTTGAGGTGTACATGTAGCTACAAGAAAATTATTCTGAGGTATCTCAACTTTGACTATGGTATGACAGACTCATAGATGCTTTCTCTTAATATTTTCTGACAAATGCTTCCACAAAGTAGGGCTAGGGGGTACATTTAAAGAAATTCGAGAAGTGATATGAAATTCTTTCGGCTGACAAAAGGACAATGATGAGAATAAATTTTATAAGATATATCCAAATACCCGGAGCTAGGATTCTAGGCAGATTCCAGCGACTGATGACACTTATCTGAGTTGATGCGTAGAGTCAGGTAATAGGAAGACAGCCCGGTCAGAAAAGCATCATGTACAAAGGAGGCCCAGGTGATTCTGATGAGCAACTAGGTCTGGGAGTCATTGAACAGTGTTTTGATCAATAAAGGATTATAGGTTTTAGAGTTCTCAAATAATGTACAACTTACCAAATGTGTCCAAGACACTGAATTTTATATTTCATTATATGTTCAAATTAAAACTCTCTTTGAATTAATTTGGAAATAAGCTCCTTTCAAGACCCTGTCTGATGTTCATAAAGCCTGGTTGGGTCCAAGCATATCTCTAAATTAAACGATCCCATTTCCTATCTACACACTGGGGACCAGCTCATCTTGTTTGCTTCATCCTTTGTAAAGTCATTTTTCCCACTTTTACTAAAAGCTACAGCTGTCTTCCTAATTCTTCCCAACTCCTTCCTTAATATGATTAGTAGAAACTTTCAACCCCTGTGTTCATGCTCCTCAACAGGCTTACAAAGGGATTTTTACTAGGGAATTGTCCCCTGGATGAGTTTTTCTGCCTAGTCTGAGTATTAGCATAATAGTATAATTTTAAAATAGATGTGTTTACTCTAGCTCTAGCCACTTTTAAGTAACTTATCCAGTTTCTTCTTGGAATGAAGAAACCAAGGGTAAAATAAAATAATAAAAGCAGAAACAAGAAACAGAATAACATAGGAATTAAATAATTTTTTTCTGAACATTGGCAATATACCTGCATATTTGCTTTAAAAAACAACTCTCTTAACATTACCAAAGGGAAATGAACCTTATCATATATCTGACTAATAATATGCAATGTAAAATATGAAATAAAATATTATAATAGAATTTTATATTTAATCTCCTGCCTTTTGTTTATCCATTGAAATGCTTTTATATTGACTAAATTTTATTTAGAAGCCCTTCTCCTGGAACTTCAGCTTTTGTGGCTTTTACAACATGTGATGTAGTGAGCCTCAACTTCCATAAGGTGGCATCAACCCACTAGAGTGAGTAGGACACAGCTTATTTTATTTCAGGTGACCTTGGACCTTCAACTTTCAATTATTCCTAAAGTTGTTTACACAAAGAGAAAATTCAAAGACATTTTAAAAGACTCCTTCAGATCTAATATCTTCTGACTTACAAAAAGAAAATTTCAAATATCCAAATCTGTTCTGAAGATGCTAAAGTTCAAGTGTACAATTAAAGTTTATCTGAATCTCTCTAGTCTTCCTTGGACTGTAGACTCGGACTTGAAATCCTGCAGGAATTCTATGCTTCTGGGATTTCTGGCATTTTGTCTTTTGGGTTGTAGTCAAATGCAGAGTCAAATATATCATGCAAATAGTAATTTTCTTAGTTTTCTTATACAGCAAGGAAAGGTGAGAAATGAAGAAGCATGCACGATATTAAATATTTATTATTTTACCTTTTTTACAGGTTGAATTAAATTTTATTTAAAAGTAAAAATAATAGAAATAAAATAATGCTGCTTCTTGAATTAATTCTGTATAAATATCAAAATCTCTTTAAAAATGCATGATTAAAATAATCAAATAAATGTGATATTGAGCTGCATAATCCTCATAGGATAAAGGGGGCAGCTTAAATGAGTTTGTTAATAATAAATGAAAGGGAAAAAGAAAAGCTGCACTGAGCTCCATATTCACTTATTAATGAATCTTAATATTATCGCTTATTAATGAATACTAACTAGCTTATATAACCAAAAAAAAAAACAAATGTAATTTTCTTCAGTATATTATTAGGACACAATACAGTATGTTTCACCAATATAAATGCATTTATATTCTCAGCTATAATTTCAAAAGGCCATTTCAGAGAACACTGTTACAATTAAATATGAGGAAACCTGTTCAGTTCTCAACTCCTAGTACCAGTTATCTCTGAAGAAGTTCTTGTAATATGAGAAATAATGACCTAATATTGCAATAAAAGCAAGCCTTAAGCAGTTTTCTTAACTCTGCTTTTTACTGGCTCGGTGACATAGTATAAGTCATTTAATCTCCCTACATGTAGAATGGGAATTTACTCCTTATTCTCACTTTACAGCAATGTTAGGAGGATTAATTGGATAATGAATCTAAAGGCTCCTAGGCTCAGTAAAGAAAGACACAAATGCAATGTATTATTTGCCAGTGAAAGAGTCAATGAGGAAGCACTTTTCTTACTAATCAAAATTATTCCTAGCAAGAGAGTGAATGTTAGCAAGTAAATTAAGACAATTTTTGATAGAGTTTCTAGTCTCACATATCCTATGGCAGCAAGCTAGGAGAGCAAACAAAGCTCTCAGACAATTTAAATATATTCCTCTCATTAAGAAAGTGGGACCACCTCAAAGGCATAAGTGTTTTCCATAGTGATTTCATAAAGTCATTAAAGCATAAACTTTGAGATAGTTGGACCAGACCTAATGAAAGACACATGTTCAATAATAGTAAAAAAAAAAATAGTGGTCATTCAAATGAGGGTTTCTTCTTGTGTTAGCTTTGCATTGTTTTCTTAGAAAAAAGACCACACCATGGCAAATGATTTTAAAAGCAATGTAATGAAAAGCTATCTAATTTGGTAGCAGGTATAAAATATAATACCCAGAATTAATGATAAAAGGGAATACCTGTGAGCATTCATAAGAATATACCCATCGTGGAGTTATTGAAATAGAATTGGATTGGGAGTAAATTACCTCAGGCTGACCTTTTTGACTGTTTCTCCTTAGGGATTTTTGACCTCAAATTAATTTTTTTTTTTTGCAGTAAGAGATCTGCATTATATGTAGGATGTTTTCTAGCTGAAGGACAAATAATTATAATTTCCATTTAGAGAGCTTGAATTACAACAAGGGCTATTTTCTTGACCAATAGAAAATGAAACCAGCTCTGCCTTTGGTCCCGATGTCAAAGCTCCCAAGTGTGCCTTTGCCTTTTTTGGGAATCGCTGTATATGATGAGGTTTAGTGGACTGTCTAACTCTCAGTGGTGCCCCATTCAGTCTTATGTTGACTTTAACCACTCTTCAAATGTGAAATCAGGTTTGCGGCAGGATTTCTGAAGTTGTTCTATAAAACCAGCAACTCTCATCCTGACACTCTTTACAGGTAGTCTATGAAAATAGTTAATTAATACATTAGATAGTAGAGTTCTTACAACCAAATACTGCTTAACTTTACCTTTGAATAGTTTACCTGGTTTATGAATTGGAAGCATTAGCAATCATTTGCCAACGTCCTTCCATCAGTATGATTGATGGCCTTGTGGTTAACCATCTTTCCTCTTTCACTCTGTGTTATTGGATTGTAGCAATTATCTTGGTCTTTCAATTATAAGTCCTAATCGAATGATCTGATTTCTTCTGAGGACACTCAGAGCCTTTTCTCAGTCAAGTAATTAATTTAGTTTTAGACACATACTAGATATATTCACAGGGAGCAGATTACCCATGGTCATCCAGACAAGAAAAAACAAGTACATACGTATTGCAAGTGCTCTAAGAAAATTATATTTTTGTCAACTGATAATTTCAATTTAAAAGTAATAAAATAGTTAATAAACTATGTATCATGTAGTTAATTATAAATACATACTTTTAAAAGTTGATTATATAGGGTAACTTTTCTTATAATACATGTAATTTCTTGTTAAATTGATAATTATTCAACAACTAAATCTAATTTTAAAGTTTTTAGAAAGTAGCCAGTGAATCAGGGAAAGGTTTTGGATTAATTTGATGATATCATATATATTTTACATAGATGAGGCAATATTTTTTCTGTTTTTTTCCCATTTAATGTTTCGAATAATAAAGAAAAAAGAGATGTTTCTTTTAAATGCTTATTTTAAATCAGGGAAGATTTTTAAAGATTTTTGTTAACCTCACTGTAAAACTTTCTTCTATTTATACATAAATTACTGGCAGTTTAATTCTCTCTTTTTAACATTGTTGGAAACCTGTACATATATTTCTTCGACTAAATTTTTTTACTTTGAAAAATCTACCACAAGGTGGCAGTCAAGAAAAGTCTTTTAAATTTCATCTTGGAACATAATTTATGAGGTGAAGAAGTCAGGTTCATGTGAAGAGTTATCATACACCTGACATGTCAGTGGCCAAACCAGTACATAAAAGCTGATGTGCACTTCAATTAAAAATCATAATTATTCATACAGAGAAAACAGCAGGCTATGAAACTGAATGCTCTGGAATTGAGCCAGAAATCTTAGATGGACATCTTGACTTTAACAGTGTGAGCCTTGGCAAATCACATTAATTAGGGAATTCCCTAATTCCCTAATGTGTCAAGACACATTCATTTCTTTGTGCCAATCTAGCAGTCATTTTAATATCATAATGAAAAATAGCTATCTGAGACATTCAGCTCCAGCTACCTCCAGGATGCTATAGGAAGAAGCAGTGCTGAAAGAAGCTTTCAGTTTACAGCAATTCAATTTACCTCACCTAACCTCCACTTTCAGAGATAAAGCAGATAAGAGCATTGTGCTGGACACACTGGAGTATACACGGACAAACAAAACACAAATCCTTGGCCTCAAGGAAACAAACAATCAAAAACATAGGACAGACTAATATGGATAAGAAGGAAGTTTTCAGGAATTTCTTCACTAATAACACTTTCAATTATAAGTCCTAATTTGATGTACAAATATCAAAAATACATAAAAATATCCAAATTTCTCAGACTAACTGGAAGTAATATTTATAATTTCTATATTTTACATTTAATATTGAAACAATATCTAATTCATTTGGTAATATTTTATTTAAAAGTCCATAATATTGACTTGTGTGTACCGTGTTTAGCACGGGTTTATAATTCACTGCAAATATGGCAGCTTGTGTTTCTTATTTTACAGAGTTAAGTTTCTTCAGCAGTAAAACTACTGTCTGTATATTGCTTATATACAGAAAATTTGTCACCATACATTTATTAGTCATAGCAAAATGCCTGTACATAGCAGGTGTTCCACAAATATTGGTTACCTTACTGATAACCAATGTAGTTGAATATTTGCTATGTTTTCAACATATGATCTCATTCAATCCTCTATTTTCTTTATTGTGCTAACGAGAAAACTGGGACTGAATTTATTTGATTTCCCTAATGCCATATAATTTACAAGGGACAGGGACAGGGACAGGATTCCAAGCTGAGCCCACATGGCTAGAGAGTCTATGGTCTTAGCTATCACGTGAAGATGCTTCTTACAAGTTGATAAGGTTTAGATTTTTGTTCCTTCCAAATCTCATGTTGAACTGTAATCTCCAGAGTTGGAGGTGAGGCCTTGGGAGGTGTTTGGATCATGGGGGTAGATCCCTAATGAATGGTCTAGTGGCATCCTCTTGGTGGTAAGTGAATTCTCATCCTGAGTTCACATGAGAGCAGGTTGTTTAGAAGTATGTGGAACCTCCCTCCCCTCTTTCCTCCTGCCTCTCGCCATGTGACACATTGGCTCCCCCTTTGGCTTCCGCCATGATTGTAAGCTTCCTGAGTTCTCATCAGAATCAGATGCCAGCACCATGCCTCCTGTACAGCCTGCAGAACTGTGAGGCAGTTCAACCTCTTTTCTTTATAAAGTACCCAGCCTCAGGTATTTCTTTATAGCTATGGAAGAATGGACTAACACACAAGTTTTTGTCAAACTATCTTCACAGAGATGTTAAGGATGTGTCTTTTCTTTCATTTGAACTAGTATTGAGCCATGCAAAGCCCTTTTAACTTTAATATAACAGAACTCATGTGAATAAGTGTTTTGTTCCTCACACTAAATTGATACAGAACTAAACTTTTATCTCTAGTCCTGAAAATATCCATGGACAATGGTTATTGGAAAACAGAGACTATGTCCTCCTTTAACTTTTTAGGCCTTCATAGCTCTGTGTGTTCTTCAAATAATGGTAGCTTGCTGAACGTTGGTTTGCATATTTATGGGCTCTGGAGGGATTTGATAATATATATCACTGACTGGGTAACTAGTAAACATCTTTATCAGAGTATGTTTCTAGATGTATAGGCAATTTCTGTTACTAATTTGGTAAGTCTCATTGCATTTTCTTAAGGAATAATTTCAATATATACACTTGAAATTCAAATTTTTGAATTAAATGAAAGGCTGGAAACAACAGATGTCAAATGTTTACATCAAATTATCAACTAAGAACTTCTCTGAGTGATTACTTGCTTTATGTGTGCCAGGAAAACCATAATAAATGTATGTTCAATGTTTACTGAAATTTATAGTTAATAATTCCTTTTTATATGTAATCACCTTACCATGGTATGATCTCTTTCTCTCCCATATCATTTAACATTTATAGAAATTAGCCCCCAATTAGTATTATTTTGAAATGACTTTTTATACTGATGCATACTTGCCTAGCTATGGTCTGGTGAGGCTATCTTTAGAAATTCTCAAACAGGGGTGGTTTGTTCACACAGGGAACATTCGGAAATGTCTGGAGATATTTTTTATTGTCATGGTTGGGGAGGGGATTGCTTCTGGCACCTAAGTGATAGAGTCTTAGGAAGCGGCTAAGTGTCCTAGAATGCACAGGGCAGCCTGTCACAAAAAAAGAACGTCAATAGTGCTGAAGTTGAGAAATCCTGCTGTTTTTAACCTTTATATTCAAAGGTGTGTATATACACACTTCACATATTAAGAGAGTTCATGGTTCTCATATTTTTGAGAGTCCCAGATGTTTAAAAAGTGCAAATAAGATATACACAATTTTACTACCAATTCTCATTGTATTTATTGACATTGACATTTATTTAATATCTTTGCATAGTGCTAAGTTAAATCTTTGCACTAAAGCGTTAAAAAATTAGGAAAAATGTTACAGGCAAAAAATGACATCACAATAAAGCAAGATATTAACGATGGGGAAACAGTATGCTGGGAATATAAGTGAGAGGGGATATATGAGAACTTTCAACTTCCTGCTCAATTTTTCTGTAAACTGAAAACTTCTCTAAAAAATAATCTGTTAACTTTAAAAACTGTAGTGTGGTGTATACAATAGTAGCAATGAGACAAGCATGGGCCAGACAGCGAGTGATGCTATAGCACCTGAGCTAGCACAGTGTGAAGGAGAGGGATTTCCAGGCAGAGAGAAAAGCTCATAGCCATCTCCTATGACATGAATAATTCACCTGAAAGGGAAAACTTTCTGTGGAATTTTCACTGGTATAATTAGTAGATACTTTAAGGCAGTGGTTTCTTGGCACCAGCACAACCTGTCCTTTCTAATTTCTGCAGTTAAATAGATCTCCTATTCCTTTTTATATATACAGCTGAAGGTCCTATATTATCTTACTTCTATATAGCTCCTTTTCTTTGATAACTACTATCTGATACATTATTATTTTATTTTTATTAGTCTATCAAGACTTTTTATTTCTTCTTCTCTATTCTTCCACCTCCAACTCCATTTGAAATGGTGGTTTGCAATAGTCTAATACTAGAGGTGAATAAAAGAGAATTTCAAAAGACCCCCCAAAAATCCCAGTTACTCTCTTGTTTCTCTTCAGTAAATTAATAACGTCTTCGGATGATCTTCCCACTGTATACTACCTAAAAAAGACCCAGGGCAAGAAATTTCAATCTGCCAATTTTAGCTTCTAACAAATGCTCTATTGAACTCTCACATCTTTTGGTTGTTGTTGTATTTAGGATAGACTTTTTCTGTCACTGGGGCACAAACGTTCCTAATTTTAGATTGGGGTTTTCAGATGAAAAGCAGGCAAAGTATGCCTTTGGCCTATGTTTGCTCTGCCCAGAGAAGTAGTTCCTATCCAACCCTTCCCCGTGGAATTTAACACTGAAGTTTGGGGAGAAGTGCCAGATAGTGATAAGAGCCCCCCCTCTGCCTTGCATTATCTCCTTCAGACATTGTTAGGGAAATACAATTGAAAACAAAAACTTCTCTCACCCAGCAAAGCTCTGTGTAAAGGTAGAAGGGAAAGAATGCAGTGTTATTATCAAATAAGCATTAAGCAGAATGTGAAACTCATCATACTCTGCTAATAAGATGGTAAACACAGTAAGAAATCTCACCTCTTATGTAGCTAAGCAAACAGAACCCATTATTAAATGCATGTTCTCAAAATAAACAATAGCTAGATCCCATTAAGAGGACTTGGCCTTACCATTTGTTACACATCAGGTATTCTAAATTCACTTGTTAATTGAGATAGTCACTTGGGTTTGCTAATTTCCTTTATAAAAAAAAAATCCTCCTGACTTCATGACAGGAGGAAGTTTTGCAACTTGAAGTCAGGCACAAGGTGAAATTAGGGCTCTATCTCCCCAGGAAACTGGGAGACAAACATCCCTAGATTTTTTTTTTAAAGAGGCGTACTTAGTCTTTAAAAACATTCATACATATTTCAAAGGACTCACAAGTATTTTAAAGTAAATGTCAAAGAATAGATGTTTGTGGGGCAGGGGTCTCTTACCCTTTTTGCGCCAGAGAAAATTAATTTTTCTTTTTTAAATTTGTATTTACCCTTACAGCATACAGTTCACCTGTGTGTGGTGGTATCCTTTTGAAGGGTTACATCAAAAGTGTGTGGTATCCGTTTGAGGGGTTATTTTCAACTGGTTCAAAGGTCATTCCAATGCATACACACACACATACACGCACACCTATTGATATTTATTTATAATTATCAATCACACACACATTTAACAAATCTTACATCTGTTTATAAAGATTTCTACAAGCTTTGTTATGTTTCTTACCTTCATATATTCTAAGGAATTATTACAAAAATATTTGGAGCAAAGTTTTTATTAAACTCTGAAGAAAAAAATATCTGTTGAAATATATTTCTAAAATTGAAATATAAACCAGAGAGGGGCCAAAATAACTTTAAAAGAAAACCAGACTCTGCTCCTATACACAAGTTACTTTAAAATGTTTTCTGGGCCAGGCGCAGTGGCTCACACCTGTAATCCCAGCACTTTGGGAGGTTGAGGAGGGTGGATCATGAGATTAGGAGTTCGAGACCAGCCTGGCCAGTATGGTGAAATCCCATCTCTACTAAAAATACAAAAATTAGCTGGGAGTGGCAGCACATGCCTATAATCCCAGCTATTTTGGAGGCTGAGGAAGGAGAATCACTTGAACCCAAGAGGCAGACGTTGCAGTGAGCTGAGATCGTGCCATTGCACTCCAGCCTGGGCAACAGAGCTAGACTCTGTCTCAAAAAAAAAAAATATTTCTATTGTTGTTGTTGCTTGTTTATCAAATGCTTCTCTAAGCAAGTAGCCTTTGAAGTCTTGCTACTCAAAAGTGTGGTCCATGGACCAACAGCACTTGTATCACCTGGAAAGCTGATGTTAGAAATGAGGATCTCAGTGTATACTAATACACTTAATTTGAATCTAATATTTAATAGGGCTTCTACTTACCCTTAAAAGTACAAACAAAATAATTACAAAACCATGACTCATCTCTATGTACTACATTTAATTTTATGGACCAATGAAAACTGCTTACTCTCTTCTAAAATTAAGAGTCCGAAAGTACTGTTAGTTACTGTTTCAATCACTTAGTGATTTCTTTTCCAGTATACTCATAATCTCACTTTAATATTCTGTAACCTATAAATAACATCTTAACATTAATTACCAACCCCTTATACCCTTATATAAAATAGAAGGGGAAAGAAGTTAATTAGTTAATATATAAATACACTGAAGGGAAGAGGGAAAAGAGAGACAGAGAGGGAGAATAGGAAAGAAAATTAAGAGATATTATAGCCAAGGACCTTATTCACAGCCTCCTTCCTCAATACCCCTTCTATGTTTCCTTTTTCCCCATTCAGCATCTCAACTGGATGCTGTTCTTAATTTAGTGCAGTGATTCAGACTTTCATTTCTGGGGGATTCTAACCCCTCAATAATGCTGATCTTACAAGTGTACATTTTCTATAGTATTTCATTAAATTACCACTGGACAAATATTAGGAAGGGCTCCAGAGGATCTCTAGGGGATACAGAGGAAAGTCTATTTGCCTCCACTGTTTAACAGCAACCCTATTTTCCCTGAGCAATCAGATTTATTTACCACATTCTCTTTGTTGTTGGTAAAGTAGCATAAGGAGTCTCAAGTGATCAGGTGCTTATTCACATTCTTATTTAGTGGAATGACATTTACATCCCACAGTAGAGGAATTTCTTTTTTAAGAAATAAAGATCTCCAAATAAGTAGAACCCAAAGACATGGCTATGGAAAGCTAGATTATTTACAATGAGGCCCTTGTTTCCTAGACTAGTGATTGGCTACATAAGAAATAACATCATATGTCGATCACTGTTAAGAAGTGATCACTGTTAAGAGGTATTACTGCAGGGCAACATTTCAATGTCACCAAGTCTCATCTAGTAGCTAGTACTAAAACTAAGTCTTTAATAAGCCATGCCAAAGTTGCTCCTAGAATAAGGGATATATGTAAAAAGCTGTGAATATCAGTATATTGGTTCCTTTGTTTTTCTATAAAATGCAGTTTTAATAAGTAATGTATGAAATACAGGACAATAAATATACTCAGTAACTCCATAACATTTTGATTCTGACAGAAGCATTATAGTCAGAAAAAATGAATTTAAATCACTCTTTCAAAGAACTGCCCACTTCTTGGTGGAATGAGACCATTTTAATCAATCCATCATCAGATGGTTTCAAGACATCCCAGGTTATAGTGACATATTAGAGTCTCAGCATTGATATTCATCACTGTCTTTTTGGTTCTCAATAGTGACTATAGCCAAGTTATTGTTGGAGAAGTAAAATCTTTTTCAGACTGGATAATATCTTTCCCTATGAACATGGCTTCTTTCTTTTTGAGTCTCTCAAATACAAATATATTTATCCAACTTTCTTTTGACTTTGGAGTTTTCTCAGTCACACTTCTAATCAATGATGGAATGCTGATGCACATTGCTCAGCTTATGACTTGGAAAATCAATTAACACCTGATTCATGATAAGTAGTTGAGGTCTCATAGTGAGTTGGTGTCCCATTGAGAGCTATTCATTTCCTGCCAGAACTCACTAACAACCTGGTGGATTATTTTGAAAAGGAGGAAATTTCATTTTGATGGTGAGTATAGAGTCATCTAAAATCCTAGGGGCCTGCTCTGTGATTTTCTTAGTATGTTACCACAGGCAAAAGAATATGCTGAGAGAGTAAAGGGAGAGTCAGAATCCCTTGCATTCTAAAAATCATTGCCAAAGCTACCTATTCAAAGACAAATGAAAATAAAGACACATACCCTCAGAGGAATTTTTCTGAGCTCAATTCTCCCCAACTCTGCAAAACTATATTTTTATCACTACCAAAGTATTTATCATGTCAAAATCTAATTTCCTATTTATTTCCCTACAAGCAACATTATACTGGGAGGGCAAAAATTATATCTTTATTTTCATAAATCATTCATGTACCCCTGAGTGGCTGGCAGATAGTATATGATGAGAAAAATGAATTAATATGTAATATCTCACCCTATACCCAAGAAAAAAGCCCAGGAGAAAAAAAAAGATTAAAGAATTGAGGTAATCCCTCAGGACTTTAATTGGCCCTGTAATTCTGGACTCTTTTTCTCACTCCTGGACTTTACATGTGTAATTTGTCCTAGATAAAAGGCAAAAACAAACAAACAAAAAACCTTGATGAATTTTACACAAATCATAAATTCTATTTGCTTGTCTCATGTGACTTTCCATCTTCCATTCTTTAGGTCTTCTTAAACAAAAAACAACTCTTGATTTTTATGAATTTTGAGAATCCCAGGATGCAGCCACTTGTCAAGTTCTCTGGATGTTTGGGGATTTGGGTATGAATTCTGACAACCAAATTTGCAAAGCTGTGAGTTTATGTTTTTATTTCAAAAATATGAAAAAGGTAGGCTATGAGACTATGAACTACTGCAGTTTTCAAAAGAATAAAAGGTATCCCTTTTTTGTTGCACGTGATAAGAGGGACTTCAACTAAATTTTTTAAATCTCAGATTAAAATGCAAAGGAAACCAATATAAAGTACATGCTGCTGGTGTTAGAAATAAAGACCAAGTGAATACGATAAATGAGTATTTTGAATGCCTTATATTTAAGTTAAAATATGTCCCTGGCTGAAAGACAAAATGTACTACCCATGGCTAACTGAGGGACTCAAATTAAAACAGAACTAAGCAGCCATGGTTGGGTGAAGGAGGGGTCATGATGGTGTGTTGAGAAAGGCATTGTAAAAGTGTCACAGGACCTCCCTTTCAACAATCAAGCCAAACAAGTTCCTGTTGTCAGAGCCAAGATAAAATGGTGGCTAGAACACCAACCTGCACTCCCCAACGCCTGTCAGACTTCTGGTTTGGGGCTTGAAAACCATCTAGTCAGAGCTCGACTGTTTTGACCCATCAGAACTGAACAAATTTGATATGTTTATGTGCATAAATGGACCTGATTGAGAACCAGAACAAGAACTTTCCCTATTTAGGCCGGACTTTCTCTTTGTTCTTCTGGGAGCATACTTTCACTTGTACTGGAAGGCAGTGTCTCCCCAGCCTGCAGATTGACTTTTTAAGAAAATAAAGCTATCCCTCTTTCCTCCACAGGTCTCATGGTCTTTAGTTAACATTTAAGTTTCCAGTGAACTACTTGTATCATAGTGCATAATCTATTTAAAATAATTCAAATAGAAGAGTAAAGGGTTTTTCTTTACTATTGTTATTTTTAAATTTTCAATCGCAGCTAGGAGAGTAGCCATGCCTAGAGAGATCTAAAGCCTGAAGCAAAGCCACCCCACAGCTGAATGTAATCAAGATCAGCTTGCCCCCAGCAATGAGTAATTGAGGGATTATTGTTGTATGCCACTGAAATTTTATGGTCATTTTGTGTCCGGAATTGGTGGGTTCTTGGTCTCACTGACTTCAAGAATGAAGCCTCGGACTCTCACGGTGAGTGTTACAGCTCTTAAGGTGGTGCGTCTGGAGTCTGTCTCTTCTGATGTTCAGACGTGTTCGGAGTCTGAGCTAGATACAAAGGTTCTCCACGTCCCCATCAGATTAGTTAGATACAGAGTTTCCACACACAGGTTCTCCAAGGCCCCACCAGAGCAGCTAGATACAGAGTGTCCCTTGGTGCATTCACAAACCTTGAGCTAAACACAGGGTGCTGATTGGTGTGTTTACAAACCTTGAGCTAGATACAGAGTGCCGATTGGTGTATTTACAATCCCTGAGCTAGACATAAAGGTCCTCCACGTCCCCACCAGAGCAGCTAGATACAGAGTGTCCATTGGTGCACTCACAAACCTTGAGCTAAACACAGGGTGCTGATTGGTGTATTTACAATCCCTGAGCCAGATATAAAGACTCTCCACGTCCCCACCAGACTCAGGAGCCCAGCTGGCTTCACCTAGTGGATCCCACACCGGGGCTGCAGGTGGAGCTGCCTGCCAGTCCCGGTGCCGTGCGCCCGCACTCCTCAGCCCTTGGGTGGTGGATGGGACTGGGCGCTGTGGAGCAGGGGGCGGCGCTCGTCAGGGAGGCTCGGGCTGCAGAGGAACCCACGGAGTGGGTGGGAGGCTCAGGCATGGCGGGCTGCAGGTCCGGAGCCCTGCCCCGCGGGAAGGCAGCTAAGGCTCAGTGAGAAATCGAGCGCAAAGCCGGTGGGCTGGCACTGCTGGGGGACCCAGTACACCCTCCGCAGCCGCTGGCCCGGGTGCTAAGTCCCTCATTGCCCGGGGCCAGCAGGGCTGGCCGGCTGCTCCGAGTGCGGGGCCCGCCAAGCCCACGCCCAGCCGGAACTCCAGCTGGCCCGCAAGCGCCGCAGGCAGCCCCGGTTCCCGCTCGCGCCTCTCCCTCCACACCTCCCTGCAAGCTGAGGGAGTGGGCTCCAGCCTTGGCCAGCCCAGAAAGGGAATCCCACAGTGCAGTGGGGGGCTGAAGGGCTCCTCAAATGCCACCAAAGTGGGAGCCCAGGCAGGGGAGGTGCCGAGAGAGCAAGCGAGGGCTCTGAGGACTGCCAGCACGCTGTCACCTCTCAATTTTACAAGCAACTTACTTCTCCAAGACCAGGTGGATATGATTCATGCTCTGAAACTATGTATGTCCATCTACTTCAAACTGAAGCTGTCATTTAATTTGCATTCCATCAATTGAATCAGATAATAGGCTCTATTGTAGCCTGTAAAACTGACAATGTCTCCTTTCTTCAAGTCGCATTGACGTAAGAAGAGTTGTATTTTTATAGAAAGAAAATATTTTGCCTAATCGCCTTCAAAGGAGCCTTGTACACAATCTCTAGGTGAGGAATGACTTTGTAATCCGAGGCATAAGGTAATTGTAAATGATAAGTCACCTATTATCTATTAGAGTTCAGAATGACTCAAAAGTTAAAGTGATTCATGTGTTTTGCTGATGGATAAGAAAGATGTTTTGAAAAATAGGAAATAGGCTCTTTCCTAGAATACCTATAATATACTTAAACATGTAATGCACATACATAATGTATATCATTATGAGATGAATTGTGTCTCACAAAATTCATAACTTAAAGCTGTAACCCGCAGTACTTTGAATGTGACTGTATTCAGAGAAAGAACGTTCACAGAGGTGAGTTACTATGAGGGTGTAGGGTGGGCCCTAATTCAGACTAGTGTTCTTATAGAGGAGAGTGTGCACAGAGGAGAGATCATGTGAGGACACAGCGAGAAGACAATCATCTGTAAGCCAAGGAGAGAGGCCTCAGAAAAAAATCCACCCTGCTAAGAGCTTGATCTTGGACTTACAGCCTCCAGGACTGTGAGTAAATAAATTTCTGTTTTATAAGCCATTCAGACTGTAGTGTTCTGTTATGTTAACCCTAGCAAACTAATAAATACATACCTATCATATATATGTAATATATATTATATATACATTTTTAAAATTATTACATTTATTATTACTGATAATATACATATACGTGGGAAACATAACGGAAAATATGGCATTATTACATACATGTAAGTTATGGCTTAATTGATTCACTATCTTCCAATTGGTTATAATTTTGTTTGGGAAATTTTTTCCACTGACTAATAAGTTATCACCTCATAATCCTTTTATAAGTGAAGGTGGTAAATAATAAACATTTTAAATAAAAGAAAGAGAGTTCTGCCACACATTTTTTCAGCTGTATATTTTAATCAGTTCTACAGAAATCAGTTAGGTGAAAGACTTATAAATCTCTCTTGGAATATAAAGTAAAAATTTTAAAGTGAAATACTAGAGATATCAATATCTAAAGACATTGTTAAATCAGTTATTAATACATAAGGGAATAATATGTAGTATTAGTACAAAACAAAAATGATCAAATATTTGTGAGATTTATTTAACTGTGAGAAGGTTTTAAAAACTTATTTCCTTTATTGGGGAGGTTACACATTTTCCTTAAATATGACGCATACTTCTTCATTTTCTTGCTAAGTAGCATCAGCTAAAGTTAAGATGATGCAGTCAATTTAATTGTTTGTTTGAGACAGGGTCTCAATCTACTACCCAGGCTGGCACAGGGTGATGCAATCTTGGTTCAGTGCAGCATCAGCTTCCTAAGTTCAAGTGATCCTCTCACTTCAGCCTCCCGAGTAGCTGGGACTACAGGCTCATGATGCCACCATGACTAGCTAAGTTTGTTTGTTTTTTGTTTTTTTTTGTTTTTTTTTTTTGTAGAGACAGATCTGACTCTACTTAAGCTGGTCTTGAATCCCAGAGTGCTGGGATTACAGGCATGAGCCAACACACCCAGCCTTTTTTTTTTTTTTTTTTTTTTTTTTTTTAAATTCCAACAAGGGTCATGTTATTGTCAGACTGAAACTTGCTGATCCATGGCAAGTCATTTTTTCCCACACAAGACCAAACTTTAATACTTCTGGAACCAAAGATGCACCCCCTGGTAGTATTTGGCAGTAACTAGAAGTATGAGAAATGGCAGAAGTAATGATGGTATGAGTGTTTTTAGTTCTGTGTTAACATTCGTCCTGGCCATACCTCGATATTTTTATTCATCCACAAGAAGTATTTAATAAGAGTTAATGTAATTAGATGCTATACCAGACACAGGAAGAAATAGAAAATCTAACTCATGGGTCTCTGATATGTATCATGCACATCAAAGCACTTACATAGGAAATACCCAGTGAGTGTTCTATTAACTAGAACATGCTAAGTTGAAATCCACTTTGTTACAGCTAAACTTCCGTGATCTTGAGTCAAAAGAAATCAGAGAGATAAGTTTGTGATGAATATTATTTGACTTATAAAATTGGTTAACCTCATTATTATAAAAGGACATTTAAGAAAAATAGGAAAACATAAGTCATTTTTTTCTTTATCTATATATCTAATAGAAATCCCTTCCCCTTTGGTACAGTATTCATACCAACTGAACAAAACTGCATTTTTAAAAAATTTATATACTGATTATCCCAATACTAATAGACTATCCTTTATTGAGGAAGCTGTAATTTTTCCTTAAATATGACACATACTTCTGCATTTTCTTACTAAGTATCATCAGGTAAAGTTAAGATGATGCAGTCAATTTATTTATTTTTACTTGTGACATCATCTCACTCTATTACCCAGGCTTATATTGGAGCAAATGAGACAAATTGTTTGGACTATTTCTTCACACAGGACAGATACTAAAAATACATTATATTAATTGTTCAATATGAATCTGCCCTTAGCTGACTTAATCACAATATCTTTATGACTTTTGGCAGTTTCCTCATTTGCTCCTTCCTCATCTGTAATACCTGCCTCAAAAAAATGTTGTGAAGAAATTATGTGGGTGGCTTGGCCCTGGTGGATCGCCCTTGGAGAGTGGAGGTGCTTTGCTCAAAGAGAGCACATCTAAGACAGTAAATGGTGCAAGCGATTGACATAAAAGCAGAACTTCTAGACAGTAATAGACATATCTGATTATCCTGGGAGTGGGCAGTTGACAATGGAAGAAATGACTTGATTGTATTTTAAAAATTGCAGTTAGTAATTGGAAGGTTCCAAAAAAAAAAGCACAGCAGAGGACGAACACAAGGAGGAAGAGTGAGGCTGTGCGCCCGATCCTTGGTAAGCACGCAGATGTTGGCTCTCTGTTGGCTGAAGTGGGTAAGGAATGGCCACTCCAACTGCAGTTCTCTGAGTGTGCTGAGGATTTTTTAAAAAGAATTAAGAGACCTACTCAGATGTAAGAAATGAGCCTCTTACTGTGGGAAACAATATGGAAGGAACTACTATAGGGTTTTAGTCTACTGGCAGAAAGGAAATCTGCCACTGAGAACCACTCTCTAATCAGGATGAGACTGCAGGCATAAAACAATGAAAAGACAACAAATAATGCATACTTAGAAGTTATTTAAGATTTTTATTGTCAATTAAGTGGAAAAAGTTACATTCTGCACACAGAAAATGAGAAGGACAGTGATTGGCTTGGCAAAAAATCTAAAGGCAAAAAGAATAAATACTATTGCAAGAAAATGTTTGAGATTTTCATGTTTACTTCTTTTTCCTTTCTAATAAAGAACTAAATTTGTCATGTGGAGAATTTGTCTGTAGGACAGAACACTGCCCTGAAATATTCATGCTGATTTTAGAAAAATAAAGTCCTGGGACTTTAAAAACTACATACTTATAAAATATGATACACAATTTCAAATGTTTAACCGAAAAAAATAAGCTGTACTTAGATGAGCTAAGGCATGTGGCTAAGTCAAATTACCTTAAAAAAATAATTAAATAAAATCGTTACTGGCTGGGTGTGGTAGCTCACACCTGTAATCCCAGTACTTTGAGAGGCCTAGGCAGGTGGATCACTTCAGGTCAGGAGTTCAAGACCAGAATGGCCAACATGGTGAAACCCCATCTCTACTAAAAACACAAAACTTAGCCGGGAGTGGTGGCATGCACCTGTAATCCCAGCTACTCGGGAGGCTGAGGCACAAAGCATCGCTTGAACCCAGGAGGCAGAGGTTTCAGTGAGCCAAGATTGTGCCAGAGCATTCCAGCCTGGGCGACGGAAGGAGACTGTCTCAAAAACAAACAAACAAATCACTGTTATTAATTATGCAAATCTTAAAGGATATTAGTGTAAACAATATTGGGCAGGTGTTTTCAAATTGATATGAGGGGGTGTATAATAGCATCCCCTCAACACGCACATACAATTTCTGAAGAAATGACCAGTAATAAATCCTTCAGCCACAAGATAGAGGGTGAGTTGGATCCCCAGTGAGCTGGTGAAATAAACAAAATTTCCTAAGTTAAATTATTCTCTGACATATTTTTGGATAGGAAGGGGCATTGGCAATTGGAATATCATTTAGCTAGGAGGAGATATATTTACTGAGTTGACAACACTTTTATGAAATTTATAAAAACTTTTCTTATTCAGATTTGATCAAAGTTTAACCTTAACGGTACAAAACTCACAGTTTTGGGAAATGTTATTAAAGTTGGAATAAAATAGCTAATAGATGTTGTTACATTCTTGGAATTTGTGGGTTATAATTTAGATAATTTTTATTTTGATACATTTTAAATAGGCATGGTAGATCTAGTTAAGACAGAAACTTTTAACAATAAACTAGAGAAAAATTTAAGTCTAATCAGACACACTTCTCAGAGTGAAAGGAACTATTTATTGATGATCCTAATTTGAATGAAGAAAATGTTTTATCACTAAAGTAGTTTTTGTAAATTGAATTTTAGAATAATAAGTATTATTTGCACTCAAAGAGAAATGAAGTTTAAATGAGGTGATTAAAATGAAAGATTTATTCTTATTTAATTATCTACGTTTTCTATGAAAGTGTTTGCAATTTTGATAAGGACAACGGAATGTTTTTTGGAAAGCTATTGTTAGATATCTGACGTGCTGAATTTCACCAGGGCTATATATTTGCCTTGTTCAGTCAGTAAGAAGGAGATATATAATATCTATATATCTGCTGTTAATATAGAATGAGTTGTTCAATTTTAATTATTTTTATGACTTGAATCTTAGGTCTCAGCTAATAGTTAGATGGGTAGTGGGGCTTGAAGAAAAATATAAGCTCTCATTACTTGGGTGGACATGTCCCAATCATATTTTTTTGTTTCTTTTGACATTTTAAATTATCTATTAAAAACTAAGTTCAGGAAAATACATTAATTAATTTGAACTTTTATTAGAAACTTGCTAGGGACATTCTAGATCTCTATTATAGGCTTTTTCTAGGCTACTTTATCATCTCCCGAAACCAAGAACTTTGGTCTGTGGCTTTCATGATCAAGGGCATATTTTTTGTACTTGAGAACCACTGGAATAAACTCCTTTTGGTACAGGAAATGGATTATAGCCTGAAATAGCCACAGTTAAATCCAGAAAAGGGGATTTCAAATGAGGGATGTTTAGAAGATGCTAGAAGAAATGGAAATGAGAAAGAGAATAAATAGTGGAATTTGTAATGGAGCCATGGAACATTTTGCTCATGTGGAAAGAGAAGTGCTAATACAGAATTCTCAATATCCTAAAGCCATTAAGTCATTAAGTCATTATTTCTGCTTTTTCTTTCCTTTTAATTGAACTGTGCTAAATCTATGGGGGCTTCAAAATGTGATGTTGGATGATTCATAAAAATGTTCTGCAGCATTTATTCCTCCATGGGAGAAAGATTTATTCCTCCATGGGAGAAAGATTTTTATTTTCTGTGACATTTTTCCTTCTTAGGTTATCTGTCCTCTCATGTGTGCGTAATGCTAGAGTGGAGCCACCAGTTCTAAATACTATGCAGTCAATTTTTAAAAATGTGTGCCAGAGTTAAGGACAAAAAAAAAAAGAGTCTAAAATCACCATTCTGTTTCAGTGCTTTTGAAATACTCCGTGCTTTACCTTTAGGTAATTGTGATTCATTTCAGACTTCTCTGAAGGCTGGTGAGAAACATGCAAATTGGGAATTGTGTTGGTTCCAATGTAAAATATTAGACTAATGACAGAAAAGAAATATTTTTATATGTGAAAATAAAATACCTGATCCCTTTCATGTGGCATGTACCTAATTAATAGAGGTAACTAACTGAGAGAATAAATTAACGAAAAGTGAAGAGGTATTATGGGTTGTGAAGAATTACAGCTCAGGAAATATTAGAAATCTTATATATAGTTTTTGAAATATATTTTGAGGTTATCATAGTATGTGGTGATAAAGAAGGACCATATGTATATTGAAGGAAATAGATATAATAATCGCTTAAGAGAATCTGATGTACTTTGCTTAAAAGATAAGTTGTGAAATAAATAGGAATTGGCTTGGAATTGTAAAAAATTGTGGTTTTTAAAAAAGGAGAGATTAGATATAGAAAAACTAAATGAATAAACATAAAACAGAACAATTGATTTTTTAACCTCAATTTACAGAATGCGTGGCTCCAAATTTCACCTAGGGGCAAAGTTCTGCATAATAAAATTTTTATACATTTACTAAAACCATTCTAATTGCATGGCTTTGTTCTAAACTTTATTAATGGTAGAAATATTCAGTATTGATATTATTGAACCATAAATTTACCAAAAGTAGGCCAGGCGTGGTGGCTCACACCTGTAATCCCAGCACTTTGGGAGGCTGAGGCAGGCGGATCACGAGGTCAGCAGATCCAGACCATCTTCGCTAACATGGTGAAACCCCGTCTCTACTAAAAATACAAAAAAAAAAAAAAATTAGCCGGTCATGGTGGCAGGCTCCTGTAGTCCCAGCTACTCGGGAGGCTGAGGCAGGAGAATAGCGTGAACCCAGGAGGCAGAGCTTGCAGTAAGCCGAGGTCGCACCACTGCACTCCAGCCTGGGCGACAGAGAGAGACTCCAACTCAAAAAAAAAAAAAAAAAAAAAAAAAGAATTACCCAAAATAACTAACTAAATAGTTTTTTGGATTTGTCCTTCTATGTAATGACTAAAGCGCTGTTAGAATATGCTAGGGATTGCTATCTTCAGTTGAGATTAAACCAAGTAACTTGTCTAAAATAACATTTCAGGTAAGTGATAGGACAGAAATTAAGGATTATATGACCCTAAATTAATGTTCTTCCTATTCTAAAAGGCCTCCTAGCATTCAGTCAGAGAGAAGAAATACACTTAAAATATATACACTATTTTTATCCTATTAATGAACATGATAATGGGGTGGATAGAAAGTGATGTGGTTGGGGTTGTATTTTAGGCTGATTAGGGAGAGTCCTCTCTGATAAAGGGATGAAGGGATAAAATATGAGATCTAAGTAGGGTAAGCAAACCTTCCCTGATTATAAAAAGGATAAAGAGAGGAGCATTCCAGGCAAGAGAAGAAATATAAATGCCCTAAGATGGAAGCTTAAGTAATGTATTCAGCTGTGTGCAAAGAGGCCAACATGGCTGGAACTCGGTTGCCAAGTAGGAGATGAATTTAGAGATGTTGCCAGCACCAGATAATCTAGGGACTTATAGGCCACAGTAATCATAAGAGGAAGTCAGAGAATTTAGAACATGGGATAAGTTGGCCAGAATTGCATTTAAAAGTTTCATTCTGGCAGCAGTGTGTAAAAAATTCTCTGGGAGTGTCAAACAGTGAAAACACCAGAATCAATCAGCTACCACAATCGTTTAGGGACTAGTGGGCAAGTGGTGGGAATTGATCAGATTTGGGACATATTTTCAAAATAGTGCCACTAGGAATTGCTAGTGGTGATTGGAAGGAAATTTTATTAAAAAGAGGGATGTCAAGACTTTTGGCTTAAGCAATTGGGAAAATTAAGGAAGAGTGGTAATGAAAACTTGTAGTATGTTAAGTGTACAATACCTGTTCAAAAACCAAATGAAAGTAGTAGTTCAAGAGGTTGAGGCAGAAAAAAAAGTTACATAATATCAACATATCAATGATATTCAAAAGTATGGGGATGGATGACATCACTAATGACATAAGAGTCATGGATAAGTGACGAGGTACTCAATGTTGGAGACTCCAAACTTGAAAAGTCAAAAAAAAAATTAAGAGGATACACAAAAAGAGCCTGAAAAAAAGAAAAAGTTGTTGTTATTGTTGTTGTTGTTTTTAAAGGCAGGACTTCATGTTGTCCCAGGGGTCAAGTGAAGGAAATGTTTTAAGAAAGAGTAATCAATTATCTTAAATGTTAGTGCTATAAAATTCTGAATAATTATTAACCATTGGATTTGGCGATGTAGAGCTCAGTGGTGTTAGAATGAAATTTTAATGGAGTAGTGGAGACAAAAATCTGTTTGAGGCAGGTTTAGAATAAAAAAGATGCAGTGGTAATACAGAGCAATGGCAAATCTTGTAGGAGCTTTGTGGAGATGAGGGATAGGGAAAGAAAGTAAAAGTAGATGGGGGGATATATCTAAAAGAAAAGTTGTTTGCTATGATAGGAGTATTAGAACATGATTCTATGACAATGGAAAATATAAAAGAGAACAATTCTGATGCAATTAAAAAAAAAACAGAGCAGCAGGAAATAACCTGAATGAAATTCTTAAGCAGGTAAGAGGGATGCTAGTCAATGCATAAGTATATAGATCTCTTAATTTAGTTTTTTTCAGAAAGCAGAACATGAGACAAAAGCATGGCTGTGTATAGTGTATTTAGAAATGTTTCCTGGAAGAAGAAATAAGTGAGCAGGTAGAATGGGATAGAAAAAAGGAAAAGCCAATAACAGTTGCACCATTGAAGATGTGCTTTTCAAAAAGATCAGATAAAAATACAGAATCTATCCAGAATTTTCTATTTGCTCACTTTACTCCACTTTAATCCACTGCCTTTCATATCCCCCTATTTAAGGGTCATCTCTAGGGATGTTCAGGATGATGATGGTTATGATGATGATTATAATGATTGTATGTACAGAGATTAACACACCCTAGGGAACATGACTGATGAATTAATTCAATACCTGATATAAAATGAATTTTCCTTCCAAAAGCTCTACATAATTACCATGAAATTGTGGAATTATCAACTCTAATTATTCACTGAGAACATTGAGCAGGGTAGAAGAGACATTTTTATTTGTTGAGGATGCTCACAGGGGCACTACATGTTTGTCCACTAAGAGAAACTTTTTCTTCTGCACACCTCTGTTGAAACTAACTTGGAAATAGGCTTGCTTGTCTCTAAATACACTTTACAAGAAAGATAAAGCCTATAGAGTTTTATATGTAACAGGAGACATTTCAAATTGTTGGTGTAAGAAGTATATTTATGATCCTGTGTGGGAGTCTAATAATGCCTATTACCTATGATAGATGCACGTGGATATTGACTCATTCTGAATCGGTTAGAACCATTAGTCATAGAATCTCACAATATGTCAGAGTATTTGCTTTTGTCTTCACTTTTACTGAAGTACAAGGAGGTTAAGTGACTTGCCGATGATCATCAAACATGTTGGAGAAGAAGCCAAGAATAGATTCTTAAGATTCTGACTCCAAGTTATTTATTTCACCGTACTTATTGACTTTACCTTCTGCTTAGCCATTTGTTGGGCACACTTACAATAAATATAATGAGAAGTGACATTCCAATTTTTAAAATAAAGCTTTACCTTATACCTCTGGCGGAATGAAAACAGAATAAGTTTGCAAGGCAAATGTAGATTTTTGATGGAAGTCTCCTTTTAACAACTTGGATCATTCATATAATTTCTTAAAGTCTCAGTTTCTACATCTGCAAAATCAATGCAGTAGTTTCTTAGATACCGTTTAACTCCTATGTTCTATTTTCCAAGCAGAAGATAACTGAAGATTTGGTCATTTTAACTTCATTTGTGAGGTGTGTGTCATTACCATTTGGGTTTCTGATCAAATATTCCCCTCATCCATTATGAGGAATCCTGAAAGTGCAGATTCTTAGGACTCAGCCGTCAAAAGGCTCCACTAGGAAGTCCATTGTTAAGTTTATCTCTTCCTCCTATAGTGTCAGCTACTTTAGCTTTCTTAGAGTCTAATAGTATCTTTCCACTACTTCTAGAAATATATATGTCTGTGGAAATCTCAGGTCCACTTTCAGAATTAAATCTCATGAAAGAGCTTGCCTGTTTTGTTCATTTTTATATATATATATACACACACACACACACACACACATACATATATACACACATATATACATATGTGTGTTTGTGTGTGTGTGTGAGTTTCTGGTGACTGAAATAGTGTCTAGCACATAGTAACAAAAACAACTTGTATGAATTTATTAGACAAAAAAAGAGCTAGAACTCTGCCCTGTACAGTCTCAGGGATACCATTGGCTTAATGCCCATGATAAAAGCACAAGGCACGTAATAAAATGATTAGATAATAGTAAATATTTCTTAACATCTCACCTCCACTTCAAGGCCCAATTCCCAGAAATTATTTGCTTTATTTTTTGTATGTTTTTAGTTCCTATAAATGTTGCCAACACAATTCTAATGAAAATATGTGTACCTCTATTTTTGATCTTATCAGTCTCTGCTCTGAAAGACCAGGAAATTGGTTTACTTACCTGATTTGTACATCTGAATACTTTATGAACTTGTTTCTTGTATTAGCAAAATTCTGATTTCTTCTGATGTTTGTCTCTACTTATTCTTAGATATCTATTTCTTGTTATTCCAAATCTAAATATATTTTTTCTTATCTTTGCTTCTTAAAATGAGGAAATTAGATGCTGTTTTTATTTACTTCTAGCTCTCTACACCCAAACTATTCCTTGCAAGTAATTTTGATACAGACAGGAGGCAGAAAAATACGGGGTAGAAGAGGATGGCTCCCCAGCAATAGCCCCACCCTCAAGCCTGGAAACCTACAGCCCTAAAAGGGAACAGGCATTCCTGTTTTTGCATCCAGATATTGCCTTTTCCAAGACCACTCTGGCCTGCCATGCTTCTATCTTGTGCCCATATAAACCCCAAGCTCCACCGGCAGAGTGGCAGAGTGGTGTGGCAGAGAAGGAGAGAAGAGAAGGAGTGTCTGAACATTCAGAGAAGTTCAGCCAGGGATGGTTCTAGAGGAGATTGGCTAGGGGACAGCTGAACTCAAGGGGAAGATCAGATCATCTTTCCACTCCATCCCCTTTCCAGCTCCCCATTCATCCTACTGAAAGCTACCTCTATCGCACAATATAATCCTTGCATTCATCATCCTTCAAGTCTGTGTGATCTGATTTTCCCTGGATGCTGGACAAGGACCCAGGTACCAAGAGGTCAGCGTGTAAAAGGCTGTCACCCTGACTCTCCACTGAGCTGGTTAATATTTAGCCATCCACAGATGGCAAAGCTAAAAGAGCATTGTAACACTCCTAGACACTGCCATGGGGCCAGAGCCAAAATGCACTCTCCTCGGCTCACCTGTGTTCTCCCCCTCCCATAAGGAGTTTGAGCATGCGGCAGCCAAGTAAACAAGTGACTCCCTTCATGACGGGTCCCCTGAAGGGGCCAAGGGAATTCTCCCATTTTCTCTGTGGTCTCGCTCGGAATCAAGCACGCAGATGAGTACAGATGTGGAACTGTTGAATCTGCCTCTTTTCCAAGACCTTGCCACTCTTCTCTTTCTTTTGGGTGAAAGGAATGTTGGCTCTGTTTCTCTTCATGGGGAGTTAGCCATCATATGGAACCAGGACGAGGCCCTAGGGCAGCTGAAGGCATCTGGCTGAAGCCATTCCTGGCTGCACTGGATAGCCACTGGACTGGCTACTAGTTCCCAACCACAGGCGGGCATTGGTCAAGATCCCCAGATCTTGCTATGGCATCTCTTCTTTATTCACAGTTTGAAATGACTCCTATTTCTTCCTTTATAATGTTAAGGGTTTTGCTACAGACAGCAGCAATAATATTAAGTAGAATGAGCATTTGGCCCAGCCATCAGAGGTGCGATTCAGAATAAAGTGGTTTCCATTTGTTCTTAGAGGTGTGACCCCAACCCTCACCCCAATGGTCACAGGAGTGTGTGCAGACAGGCACACATTTCAGACTTAATCTAAACAGATCCATGCAGTCCCTGAAATACTTTTTTGTCCCAAATTTGATCCCAGGCTTTAGGCTGAGGCCCTAGAGAGGAAAACCAGATCTAAGGGATCCAAAGCCACTAACGGGCACAATGTAAATGTACAGGACCAATTTCTGCTGACTAAACCCTTGCTTCATGGAAGGAGGCCATGCCCCATGACATGGATGAGGCTCAGGAAACTCAAAGATTGTCAACAGCAGGGGAAATAGGGCATATGTGGGTAGGAGCAGATACTCCCAGCCCCTGGGGCCCCTTGTTAACATGGGTGAAAGCCACTTTGGCACCCATGGGTGGCACCTGCCAAGGTCTCCAGGACTTGGGGACAAAAAGATGGAAGAGAGAGAGGGGATGCCCACTTTCTCTCCATCACACCCTGAGTTATCATGGAAAGAAAGAAGGGAAATGAAGGACACCTTTACTACCCTGTCTTTCAGAATGGACAACTGGCTATCTTTACCATCCCCAGTTTATAATCCTCTGGAGTGTATCCTGAACCACTGAGACTGCTTTGACCCTCTGACTCTGGAGGAAAAATACCTCATAGCCCTCTGCACAAAGGTTTGGCCAAATTATAACAGACTAGCTTGGCCTCAGGAAGGAATCATTTATTTTGATACCATCCAGAAGTTGGACCTTTTCTGTAGGCATGAAGACAGATGGTCTGAGGCCCTATATGTGCAAGCTTTCTATACCTTGCAGAGCAATCCAGACCTTTGTCAACAGTGTAGGATCAATTCAGCCCTCCTGTTTGCCATCTCAGGAGAGGCTGCAAGCAGCAATCCCTGGAAGCTAAAGAAATGAATTGGGCCGGGCATGGTGGCTCACTTCTGTAATCCCAGCACTTTGGGAGGCAGAGGTGGGTGGATCACCTGAGGTCAAGAGTTCGAGACCAGCCTGGCCAATATGGTGAAATCCTGTCTGTACTAAAAATACAAAAACTAGCCGGGCTTGGGGGTGGGCACCTGTAATCCCAGCTACTTGGGAGGCTGAGGCAGGAGAATTGCTTGAACCCAGGAGACGGAGGTTGCAGTGAGCCAACATTGTGCCACTGCACTCCAGCCTCGGCGACACAGTGAGACTCTGTCTCAAAAAAAAAAAAAAAAAAAAAGAAAAGAAATAAATCCCAGAGGCACCGCCAGCAGAGAAGCCAGCTCCCTCCAGCCCCACTCCTCCAGGTCCACCCCGACCTCCTTATCCAGCTTCAGTCTCTCACTTTCCCCCTCCTGGAAGTCCCCACCATAGGCATGCCCCAGTTTCAATCTTGCCACTTGAACAGATGCCTGGTGAATTTGGCCTCAGTAGGGTTTAGGTCTCCTTTTTTCTATAGGACTTAAAACAATTTAAGGGGGATTTTGGCAAGTTTTCAGATGACCCTGACAGATATATAGAAGCTTTCCAGAATTTAACGCAGGTATTTGAACTCTCCTGGAAAGACATTGTGTTACTTTTTGTGTGTGTGTGACAGAGTCTCACTCTGTCGCCAGGCTGGAGTGCAGTGGTGTGATCTTGGCTCACTGTGACCTCCGCCTCCTGGGTTCAAGCGATTCTTCTGCCTCAGCCTCCCGAGTAGCTGGGACTACAGGCATGTGCCACAACGCCGGGCTAATTTTTGTATTTTTACTGGAGACGGGGTTTCACCATATTGGCCAGGCTGGTTTCGAAATCCTGACCTCGTGATCCACCCACCTCAGCCTCCCAAGGTGCTGGGATTACAGGCATGAGCCACCACGCCCGGCCGACATTATGTTACTTTTGAATCAGACCTTGATGAACACTGAGAATCAGGCCAACTTGCAAGCAGCAGAGAAATTTGGGCATGAGTTTTTTTTTATCACATATATTATCAGGGAATGGGCTAACTTTATCCAACTGGAAGAGATGCAGTACCAATGAATGACTCTGGATGGGATCCCAAGGACAAGATTGGAAATTGGAAGAGGAGAAACTTTCAGGTGTTCATAATGGAGGGCTTACGTACGACCAGGACCAAGCCTCTCAATTATACCAAGTTAGCCATGATAGACCAAGGATGTGATTAGAATCCCACTGCCTTTCTGGAAAGGCCAAGAGGGGCCTTGGTAAAGCACACCTCTCTATCTTCTGATTCTGTCAAGGGACACCTAATCCTGGAGGATAAATTTATTACTCAAGCAGCACCTGATATCAGGAGGAAGTCACAGAAACAGGTCCTGGACCTGGATAGTACATTAGACGACCTCCTGAAAGTGGCCACCTTGATCTTTTACAATAGAGATAGGGAGACACAAGAAAGAGACAGAAGCTTTGATGGCCATCATATAAGCCCATAAGCCCCATAATTCTCAGGGTGCACCTATTAACTGCTACAGGTGTGGCAAGAACGGTTATCTCTCTTCTAAAATTTAACTGCTCCCATAGAAGGTTTAATTTCTTTCACCAGAATGAAACATCTTGGGGTACAAATTGTTAGTATATTTTACTTCTTATTTCTGTTAATCTTTGTCACTAGATTATTTTCTTCTATAATACACATGTTTAACTCATGCATACTTAACCTTATAAAGCTTGGTTTTTTGTTTGTTTGTTTGTTTGTTTGTTTGTTTTTTCTCTCACCTAGAGGCTATCAAACTCCAAATGGTCAGTCAACTGGAGCCTCAGATGATAGCTCCCTTTTGCCAGGGACCCGCAGATAAGACCTCTGGGAGGAATCTGACTGCCATTTTCCCCAAAACAATGCCCTGTCAGCAGGAAGTAACTAAGATTGGTTGTTGTCCATATTCTAATGGGAGTTCGATGTGCCTCTTCAGAGGGAAATGATGATAGAGACAGGAGGCAGGGAAATACTGGGTAGAAGAGAGAGGTTCCCCTTCCTGTGTCCATGTGATCTCATTGTTCAATTCCCACCTATGAGTGAGAATATGCGGTGTTTGGTTTTTTGTTCTTGCGATAGTTTACTGAGAATGATGATTTCCAATTTCATCCATGTCCCTACAAAGGACATGAACTGGGGGGAGGGGGGAGGGATAGCATTGGGAGATATACCTAATGCTAGATGACGAGTTAGTGGGTGCAGCACACCAGCGTGGCACATGTATACATATGTAACTAACCTGTACAATGTGCACATGAGTATAATAATAAAAGAAAAAAAAAAAATAAAAAAAGAGAGAGAGGTTTCACAGCAAAGGCCCCACCCTCAAGCCTGGAAACCTGCAGCCCTAAATGAGAACAGGCATTCCTGTTTTTGCGGCCAAATGTTGCCTTTTCCAAGACCACTCTGGCCTGCCATGCCCCTATCTTGTGCCCATATAAACCCCAAGCTCCACTGGCAGAGCAGCAGAGTGGTGCAGCAGAGAAATAGAGAAGAGGAGAAGCATCTGAACATGAAGAAGAGTTCAAGCTGGGAGCAGTGGCACATGCCTGTAATTCCAGTACTTTGGGAGGCCAAGGTGGGTGGATCACTTGAGGTCAGGAGTTCGAGACCAGCCTAACTAACATGGTGAAACCATGTCTCTACTAAAAATACAAAAATTAGCCAGGTGTGGCGGCAGGCACCTGTAATCTCAGCTACTTGGGAGGCTGAGGCAGGAGAATCACTTGAATCTGGGAGGTGGAAGTTGCAGTGAGCTGAGATCACACCATTGCACTCCAACCTGAGCGACAAGAGCAAAAACTCTATCTCAAAAATATAAAAAAAAAAAAAAAAAAAAAAAAAAAGGAGCTCAGCTGGGGACAGTCAGAGAGGAGATCATCCACAAGATGGCCAGACTCCAAGAGAAGATAATCTTCCCACACCATCCCCTTTCCAGCTCCCCATCCATCCCACTGAGAGCCACCTCCATCACTCAGTAAAATCCCTGCATTCACCATCCTTCAAGTCGGTGTGACCTGATTCTTCCTGGATGCTGGACAAGGACCCAGGCATCAAGAGAGCAGTGTGTAAAAGGTTGTCATACTGCCGTGGGGCTGGAGCCAAAAAGCGCCCACCCTGGCTAACCTGTGCGGTGTCCTCTCATAAAGTGTTTGCGCACATAGCAGCCAAGTAAATGAGCCACCCGCTTCATGGGGGGTCCCACAAAGGGACAAGGGAATTCTCTCATCTTAATTTGTTTTTCAGTGTGAAGATATGTCTGCTCTTTGTTGCAACAGCTCCATTCCACCTTTATGAATGTTTCTACTGCAATCAGATTCTAGTTACATTCTGCAAATGGGGGCCGTTAATAGGAAATGGAAGGGATACATTGTATTTTTCTGCCTCTGGTAGTAAACATGGTATATCTTTTTCCAATCTTTTAACTTTCCTGCTTTTTGTATTTAAAGTGTTTTTTTTCTTATTGATAGCATATATTTGGATATTGCTTTTTATGCCGTCTGACAAATTCGACTTCTAACTACAGTATTTTGCCCACTTATAGTTAACATAATTATTGATAAAATTAAGATTTAACCAACCACTTTCCTATTTATTTAGTTTTGTCTCATAAAATGAGTGTTCTAATTTCTTAAAAAATGTGTAGAATTGGCATTATTTCTTATGTTTTTGGTAGAATATGCCAATAAATCCTTCTAGGCCTGATGTTGAACTTGTAAAGTGTATTGTCAAGGAATTTTTAATTAAAAATATAATTTCTTTAATGTATTTAGTCCTATTCATACTTTCTGTATTTTAAAGTCCACTTTGTCAGTTTATGTCTTCTAAGGAATTTGTCTATTTCATCTAAGTTGTTAAATTTATTGCCAATAAGTTATTTATAATGTTTCCTTTTACTGGCTATAGTATCTATATTATCCTTTACTGACTATAGAATGTATACTGATTTTTTTTCTTTTATTTCAGATACCAGTCATTTTTTTTCCCTCTGGTCAGTCTGCCATAAGTTTTATCAATATTACTGATCTTTTTTTTTTAACTGCTTTTGGTTTCATTGATATTCTTTATTAATTTTATATTTTTTATTATACTAATCCTTGCTTTTATGTTTATTATTTCTTGTACTTAACTTTATTTGCATTTAATATTTTCTTCCATTCTCAGCTATTTTGGGTAAAAACTTAAGCCATGGATTTGAGATATTTCTATTTTACTTATATAACTTGTAAATCTATACATTTTACTGAAAGCACTCATTTTTGTGTATCCTAAAATTTTGATTTCTGGCTGGGCATGCTGGCTGGCTCATGCCTGTAATCCCAGAATTTTGGAAGGCCAAGGCGAGAGGATTGCTTGAGCCCCGGAGTTAAAGACCAGCCTAGGTAAAATAATGAGAACTCATCTCTACAAAAAATTAAAAATTAGCCAGGAGTCATGGTTCCTGCCTTTGGTCCTGACTACTGGGGAGGCTGAGGCAGGAGCATCACTTGAGCATGGGAGGTCGACGCAGCAGTGAGCTGTAATCATGCCTTTGCCTTCAAGCCTAGATGACAGAGCGAGACCCTGTCTCAAAAAATACATATTTTTTTATATATTTCTCGTGCTTTCAGTTTCACTCAGGTTAAAATGGCTTATACTTTCCATTGCAAGTTGTTTTTTTTTTATCCATGTTTCATTTAGGTTGTTGTTTAATTTCAAGGTATATAGGAATTTCCAGATAACTTTATTGATTTCTAGTTTTTTAATGTATTGATTTATAGTTTAATGTCCTAGTCAAAGGACATAATTTGGACTTTTTTTAACAGAGAATTTGAAAACATTGAATACTCAGCTATTGCTGGGTGACATGTTCTATAAATATCAATTAGATCAATTTTCTTTTTAATGTCCTTTTAGTGTTCTATATTTTTACAGATTTTCTGTCTTTTTGTTAAATCTAAAACCAATAGAAGCATGAATGTTGAAAACTGAAATAATAACTTTCCTCTCTCTTCTCCTTCTGATATTCCAAGTATACGTATTTAGGTCAGTTGGTGGTGTTACATTGGTCACTACAGCTTCGTTCATTTTTATCCATCCTTTTCTTCACCGTGCTTTATTGTGAATATTTTCTATTTCTACATTATTATGTATAGTGAGCCTATGTTCTGCAGTACCTAAGCTGCTTTCAAGTCCATTCTGTGAATTTTCATCTTCAATGTTGTACTTTTCATCTATTAGAAAGTTTATTTAGGCCTTTTTTATAACTTCCATTTCTCTTCTCAATATGTTCATCTTTTCCTTTAAATACTTTTACCTAATGATAATAGATATTTCAGTGTCCTTGTCTGCTAACTCTATTTTATTTTTTCTTTCTAGGTGTGTTTTCATTAACAAATTTTTTTGTCACATTTTCCTGCTTCTTGCTACGGCTAGCATTCTTTTAAATTGTATTCTGAACATCATGACTCCGTGTCTGGACATCATTTTCTTCCTTTAAACAATGTTGAGCTTTGGACTGATAGGGAATTAAATTACCAGTGATTCTATTTGTTACTTTTGATACATGTTTTTAATATTCATTTGGTTGATTTGGGGTAGCTTTTATTAAGTCTACAGTTTGGTTCCTCTACTAAGGAGTGTCTTTCTGTGGTCTGTACCGAATGTCCTTTATGGTTAATAGGAACTCTTGTCTCTGGTTAATTGAAATTTGAATCATTTGACTGTATGCGTGTGGTTCAGCTCACAGCTTTCTGGTTGCTCTGCCTTGTGGAGTTTCACCCCATGTTTCTGCAATTTAGTACAGTCATGCATCACTTAACAATGGATATACATTCTGAGATGTGTATCATTAGGTGACTTTATCATTGTGTGAACATCATAGAGTGTGCTTACACAAACCTAGATGGAATAGACTACTATACACCTAGGCTATGTGGTATAGCCTATTGCTACTAGGCTACAAACCTGTACAGCATGTTACTGTACTGAATACTGCAGGTGATTTCAATACAATGGTATTTCCATATCTAAACATAGAAAAGGAACAGTAAAAATATGATATTATAATTTTATGGGACCTCCATTTTAAGTGCCATCCACTGTGGACCAAAACATCATTATACAGTACATACCAGTAGTTGTGATGGTTAATTTTATGTGTCAAAGTGGTTTGACTAGGGTACCCAGTTATTTAATCAAACACTAGTAAGTGAAGGTGTTTTGTGGATGTGGTTAACATCTACAGTCAGTTGATTTTAAGATTACTCTTGATAATGTGGGTGAGCCCCAACCAATCAAATTGAAGGCCTTAAGAGTAAAAACTGATGTTTTCTGGAGGAGGAAAGATTCTACCCCATGCCTGTAGCACCAACAACTACTTGAGATTTCTGTCTGCCAGCCAATTCCTTAAAATGTCTCTCTTTCCCTCTGTCTCTCTCATTGGCTGTGTTTTTTTAGAGAAGTCTGACTAATTCAGTAGTCAATCAAGAATCACAGGGATAAGGAATGGAAATTTCTGGAACTTTTTTGAAAGTAGGACTATTCAGCTCCTCCTTTCTGGAATTTAGCTCTTCAACTTTCAAGTGCCACAAAATCTGTGAAATACAATCTCCAGCTTCCCAGTTTAACAAAATGGCACTCTCAGACTTTTCCTTCCTGATTCTTGTTTGGTAATGTGCACCAGGCAAGATTTGGAGGAAGTCATAGGGTTTACATCATTTGTTTCTTTTCTTTCACTGATCACAGTTCCACACTGCCAGTTGTCTAATGACTGAAAGCAGCTGTTTCATATATTTTGTCTAGTTTGTCCAGTTGTTTATGATAGGAAGTTGAATTCAGTCCTTCTTACTCCATTGTGGTCAGAAGCTTGTCTCTTCATCATTAATAAGGCAAGAGCTCAATCAACTAAGAGTCTGCATTTTAAAATGGAAAAAATATATTTTATTAGGAAACATATTTATTGTTCTGTTTTCAGCAAACTAGAGATAGAAAAATTTTATATAAATGCACTTTCCTTCCTATGTTTGCATTGCAATTTATTTTCACACTGAAGTAGCCTTCCATTTTGATATGAGCTAGTATGTAATCAATCTTTTCTGTCTTCTTTTGCTGTCTTGATAGGGAGTCTGAGTAAACCTTGGTCCACTGAAAGGTCACAATCTATTATTTGTTTAATATGTTATTTTATATGTGCTCAGAACCATGATCTTTGGGCATTCTTGACAAACGTATGTAATAGACCTCTCATCCCTACATTGTGACTTGGGCTGGTCACAAGAAATTTTATAAATTTCTTTTATTGCTTTAGGGCATCAGCTTGCCATAGGTTGAAAAACAATCCTTTCTGAGCCTAATGTTATAATTCCCATTCCCTCCTCTTCTTACCACTTTTCTGGGCTAACTAGTTTATTCAGAACTTTTTTTCCTGTGTTCACATGCTGCTGCTCCTTTTCTTCTTTTATTGATTCATTTCAGGTCTAGTATAACTGGAAAATTACTCTTTTCACAGCATTACATTTTTGTATTATTTTTTCCATTTCAGTAAGTATATGATGGATATAAGACTTAGTTTCCTTTCCTATGTAATAATGATTGAGTTGCACATAATGAACAAATAGAAAATGGTTTATATAAAAGAGCCTAATGGAAGCACTTTTCCTTGTTTAAAATACACAGTATCTTCCATTTTTATGTCTATTTGATGCTATTTCTCAACTCTCAATTTAGCTTTCCCTGGTGGGAGTCATCATTACTTGCTCTTGGCAAGCAGAAAGATTGCAACATAGTCATTTAGTTTCTCCCATTTCCTTTATCCCATATTTTTTAAGTCACCCCTGTAATGAGATGGTCGTAAAGCTATTTCGTTTGCATTCTCCAATTCCATTTTTTTTCTCTTCTGAACTATTATCCTATGAACCTTGTACTCTATTTGAATCCCAGGTTAAAACTTTGTGTGTTAGCTATATGTATTCTCTCAGTCATGACCAGAGTAGCTGTGTTTTGGCTAATATTTATGCATCCTGAAGAGTGTAGTTATTGTATGACCCTGATTTGTATCATATTAATACCTCTCATATTTATGTTAATATTCTTAGAAAATAAAATCAATCCATGGGATTTAATGTCTTCATTATCTGTTGCATTACTTTTAGTTTTATGGTTATCTTATCAAAAATAATAAATTCACTGAAGACACTCAAAGAACATTACTCAAAAAATGTGTTACTTTATTTTGCTTCCTTAGCACCTAGGGTGGTGAAAATGGCTAGTCAATAAATAGTATTTGTCTGAAATCAATGAGGTTATTTAAAGCATTTTCAAATGTATGTTGGAAATGGTATGTTGTGATTTTAACATATCATCATATTAAGAAATAAATATTTTATATTTGGAATCTTGCTATTCTTATTTTTTTTCGTTATCACACAAAATTTCAGTTGGCTGACAATCATTTTAATACAAAATCTGAAATCATCTTCTCCCTGAAACTCTGCCATTGTTGAACTCAAGACTTTTACATATATTGCCTAAAATAAATACTTCTCTCTCTAGGTAAGTTTATTTTCATCAGAATTTTTCTTTTTTAATATCTAATTTAATTTACCATGGTTAAGTCAAAATCTGTGAAGACATGGGGATCAATGTTATCATCTTTTTAAAGTTTGGAATATCCATTTTAGCTCATTTAAAATAAAACTACCCCATTCATAAAATATAGCACTCTATTATTTCCTACTCCCAATTCTGTAACAAGAGATTTGGATACTTTTGGTTTAAAGCTTGCCATCATTGTGTTATTTTTATAATATTAAAAAGTATTTGGCAAAAACTGACTTTGATATTATTTACATAGCATTATCTGAAACTATATATTGTTCAAACAGTCAATATTCAGTTTTTGTTCTCAATGCTGCTTTTAAGAGTATTTTTTCAATGTTAAAATAAAAGTTTTCTTATATTCTTTTTATTCATAAAAATGATAATAGCACAGGCAGGTAAGTAAACTTAACCTGAAAATATAAAATATCTAAAAAAGTGTTACATTAGTCAAAGTTTTAAGAGAAATGTGCATATTATATTCCTTGATTATCTTTAGGTACACCAAAATAGGGAGCCTCCACTTAGCCCTTGAAATGCTATGATTATTCCTCACCTTTTGTGTCACCTCTGACTTCCATCATCTGTTATAAATTATATGTATTAAATATTAACAGCAAATTCAGGGACCTATGGACCTTTTACTGGTATTTATGTGTTACTTTTAATTTTTATGTGACTATTTTTATAATTAGATACCTAAGGTCATTATCTCCTTGAGCACACTCTTTTTGTCACACATTTACTTTCTAACCTACCTCTGTCTGATGTTGTTTCAATTGGTACCAATATTGATCTTATTTTATAGCTTGGCAATGAAATACTACAGTTTATTGCATGTCTAAATTTTTGAGTGATGTCACTTACAGAGAGATTGTATCTTCTTACTGATATTACATTTCTTTATTTGAAGATGGGTTATATTTTTCCTGTTAAATAATTTTTTTCACTTGTTAAATTATTTGGGATGAACACATGACAGACACAATCAGATAACTGAGCTTAACTTTAATCTGCTACTACTTCTGTAAATTTAAACACATATTTAAACATTCCTGGCCTCTTGCATTGATAAAATAAGTTGGTAGGCTGGATTCTCTACCAAGTTTAGCTTTCAGTTTCTATAACCTAGTTTTCTATTTCACATATTCTATTAGATAGAAATTGTACATAAGAAATATTGGTCATATGAGAAAGGATTCATCTAGGCTAGACAGATTATCATTGGCAGAAGAGTAAAATGGAGCATAGTGGTATAAACCAGTAATAGATGTGTTGCTTTTCCACCCTGGGTCATTGTTATTACACAGATCATATGTGCTTACACTTCATCTCCACCCCAAGTTTTTCCACCATTTAGATCACGCAGAAGAGATTATTCAACAAGCTGGCCTTTAGTTTTTTGGGAAACTTTAGTCTTATAGATTTATCTTCCATTTCATCAACTTTTCCTGTGACCATAGTCACACTCTAGAGCATCAGTCTTTAATAGTGTTTAACCTCAGAAATTGTGACAAACATTTGGCTCCCCAAACACAGTCTCTAAACTTTTCATTTTCCTTCTCAGCTACTATTACAGAAAATGTTCTTCCTCTTATATATGGTTTTTTTTACATATTATCTTTTTTGGATATCCTCCTAACCCCAACTATATGCCTAAATTCTACAGTGAAACACAGTCTCCAATCTTTCATTTTCCCTCTCAGTTACTACTACAGCAAATGTCCTTCCCCTGGTATCTTGTTTTCTTTCATAATATCTTACTGGGATTTCCCCCTTACCCCAAATATATGCCTAAATTCTCCAGTGAAACTCAAAACCTAGAAGTATATAATGTTAGCCTTCTTAATGCCTGCATTCAGATTTCTGAGCCTTAATGGATGCATACCGAACCACCAGGTAGATCAATAGAATGGTTCATTTCTAATCACGCGCATCAGTGCCCCTGTGATGACTTGTGCAATCAGTGACTTAAAATAACTTTTACAGCTTTGTAAAACTGTCCATTATTCTCATCACATTCTACACCGTTAGTCGAAACTCACACTTTCTCTTCAGACAGAAAAGAGGAAATATAAGAAATAAATTAGTTCAGATTCCCATTACTAATCTACAAACCAGTATATATTTTTACACCTTCTCTATTCTTTTCTTTCTGCCACAATACTGGAGTTGTCACTCTTCCTTTCTAAAAATAAAGTGTTTAAATTGTTCTTTAGATTATTTCATTCCCCTTCCCTTTCTATCTAGTATCTTCAACTGTTAAAATGGGACTAGCTCTTCTCATCTATATTTATACATATTAAAAACATTCCAATACGACAAAAAAGGCCTCTATTTAAGATACCTATAACTTCAGATAGACTTTTATGTTCTTCTTTCTTCAGCCTAATTTTCTGAAACCTTTGTTTCTATTTAATTGTCTGTCATTTGCACATCTACCATTCAACTGAAACCACCCTAGTAAATGGCTCCAGTGACCTCCACGTCACTCTGATGCAGTGGCCACTTCTCAGTCTTCTTGTGTAGCCTCTGACTATCTTTCTGAATAAATGATATGCTCATTGACACAATATCTTCTCTTTAAATTTGATCCCACTTTCTTCAAGTATTTTTCCTACTTTTAAAATTCCTTCCATTGGTTTATATGTGTATACCATCTTTCAACACTGAATTTCCTCATGCCTTCTTTCTCAACTCTATTTTCAATTTACCCTGTCTTTCATGTTTTACCATGTCTTGACAAAGCTAGGAAGTATGTATTTCTAGTATGTACCCTTTTGAGCTTCAACTGTGTCTTCCTGTCTATCCGATCTATCTATCTATCTATCTATCTATCTATCTATCTATCTATCTATCTATCTATCCATCTATCCATCTTTACCTATACATCCATCCATCGGTATAATTTATACTGAACAAGCCAAAAGTTTATTAAGCTGGAGTTTCTCTGAAATTCCCAGAGGTGTAAAATGAATTATTTTAAGGTAGCATTCTTGTTCTCTTTCTAACCTCTCAGTTACTCCTTGCCATAAGAAAAGAGAGTTATCTGATCAGTGATTTTTGAAGAAAGAACACATCATGCTTAGTTCACTTTTTTTCCTTTACTTTTATTGTGTCACCTTTTTCAGTATGCTATTTTTCATTTAATCTTATGGTATACTCAGTTGCTCCAATCAGGAAGATAAAAGTTGATTTCATCTTTTTCCTCACTCTGTTTATCCCTACATGGCCAGCTAACCCTCCACTTCCCCAAACTGTCACTGTCATCCTTCTATTTCTGCTTTCCATCTCTCTTTTCTGACTTCTATACTGGTATCATAATTGGTATTCCCTCGTCACTTTTTGCATCCTGTACAGCTCTAATTGATCTTCTAAAATGTATAGTTTTGTCACATTATTATTTTAAAAAGTCTTCCAATGCTTATAGTTAGACATAGGAAAGAGCCTAAATTTCTTAATCTGGTTTAAAATTGGTGTATGATTGGGTCCCTATAATTGCCTCACTGGCCACCTGTGAGATTGTTCTTTAAGAATTAGTGGCAAGATCCTTCTCTCAATTATTCAATGTGTCATGTATTTTTACTAACTCAGAATTTTTATGCACCATTTTTCCTTCACTCTGGAACAATATTTACCTTCTAAATCTGTACCTGTTCACTCACATAATATCTATTTTTTTTTCAAATTTCAGATCTCAAATTAACAGCCCATTATTATGGAAGTTCTTTATTGATCGCCAAAATGGGTTAGGTATACCTGTTGTAAGTATCTCTTTCTGTATATGCCACATAATGGTAATTATAAATCTAAATTAGTTGTTTGTAATGACTTGGACAATGTTTGTCTTTCTTACTAGACCGTAAGCTCATGAGGGCAAGGCCTATCTCTTTTTCAATGCCATGATAAGCATATTGAGATGCTCAGTAGGTATTCGCTTACTAAATGAGTGGCTAATAAACAAATAGGAATTTTACATGCAAGAGAAAGGTGAGAACAGATAGTATGAAAATAAGGATTATCATTTTTGTACCTGGTAAAATATAAGAAAGAGAGAAATTATGAACACCAATTGGCTTGAAATAACATAAAATTTTGTTTTGTGACGACTGCAGTATTTCAATGATGTAAAATCATTATTACTTTTTTTCAGAATACCAAAATTATAAAGTTGAATATAACAATAATATACTATACTATGACATAACAAAATAAATATCTGAAAGACCATATTTCAATATAATAACTATTATGTGTATTATATAAAGGTAAACATTTGTAATTGTTCTGAAAACTAAGGAAGAACAAAATGCAAATTATAATACTTTATATTTATTTTTAAGCATTTATAATATCAACATAAATATCAATTTTAGCCTTAGTTTCTATTGTCAGTATATAAAAGCCTTGATATATATCACTGCTATGAAAGGCAACAGTGGAAATGCCATTTTTTGTTAATCCACTCAGGCAGAACATTTCAAAATAAAACAGATTAAAATAGAATATTTTGGCCATCCTCCCTACCTTATTTTCTATCTTTTCTTATACATTCCTAATACTTTCTTACTTTATGAGTAATCATTACTACTATTAATATTGCTACTATTACTAATCATATATATTATTGAGCACTATATATAGATGTATATATATGTGTGTGTGTATGTGTATATATATATATATATATATATATATATATATATATATATATTCCAGTGCTTTTTTTTTTTTTTTTACTGAAACTTAAGGGGTGGATCCTGTGGCACTATTATTCCTCATTGTTTATATATGAGGGAAGGGCAACACGGTAAAGACTATGTAATTTGCTCATGATCTCAGCCAGTAGAGGCAGCACTTGTTTGCAAACTCACTAGCATGCCTGCAAATGATAATGGGCACAGAGACCAGCCATTGCTACAGCAGCTCTGTTAGGACTGACTCTGGAAATGGGACTAGAGCAGATAATACCATACTCAGGATTATAGTGATTTGAGGATTATAAAATAATGCTAATAGAGCTGCTATAGCAACAGGTTGTCTCTGTGTCATAGGAGGAGCACTTCACTTGGAACCTGACAGACCCTTGCACAGAGTAAAAAATCCATCCTACCATGTGTGTCTTCAAAAAAGCCGTTGGGTTTTTCTAAGGATTAGTCTCCCTATCTGACAAGAAGGAATGGGCATATCAAATTTAGCTCAGTTCAAAGCTTCAGTTTAAAGAAAGAAAAAATAATGAATATTAAGGTTTCTTGTGGCTCACGATACAAATTGAAGCCATATTAAGGTCTAATTCATTTACATTAGCATTTTGTTGTTACAATGCAGAGGAAGAGCTAGGCAACACCTGTTTTGAGACTTATAATCTTGGGACTGTTAATTACTCCTTTAATCTCAATTTCATTGTCTGCAAAATGGAAATATAAATTACTAATCTCATAAGTTATTTTAGGTTTTAGTATGATGGCAAGTGTATAGTGTGAGGCATGTTTTAGCTCCTCCATAAATGTGAGTTCTCTAATGCCTTCTTTCACTGCTCTGGGATTCAGTGACCCAACACTATGACTTCTGGCTTTTTTTTTTTTTTAATGTTTGTTTAGAGTTTTACTGCTTCCTTTCTGTCCTTTAGACCTTGGATCCTAAACTCAATTCAGGAGTATCCTTTGGAATTCCTATCCTAAACAAAACTAAATTGTATTTGCAAAATTACAATTTTCTCTTTTTCAGTTTTGTCATAATCACACTGGACTGGCCTTTCAACATGGTTCTCACTACTTTGTTCTTACGGGTTAAACAGCTTTGGTTTAACAGTTCTCTTTTGGATTATGATTGAACCCTGAATCTTTGCCCACTTGCTAGGGGCTTTGCATTGCTCTTCTGTTTGTGTATAAATATGCCACTTTAAAATAGTTTTGTAGGAAATTAATTTTAGTTTCAACTTGTGCATAGTACTGACAGAGTACCATACGTCATTACTCTGTTTATGTAATGTAAGTATTTAGAGTGCCACAAAATATCATTTTCTAAAACTGCCATTGACCTAGCTTGTCTACTAATTTAGTTCTTTTAATATGGAGAAAAGCTGGGATGCTTCCTTTCCACTTTATCCTTCAGCTTGTACAATGGTAGCTCCAAAAGAAGCAAGTTTGGATGGAGAAGTGCCATTTTCTGGAAGGGTGTCACGTATTCTTCTCCATATATTCCAGGTTTCAGTTCCTTGTCCGATATGTGGATGCAGGTCTCCCAATCTGTGGCTTGTCTTTTCATCTTCCTAACAGAATCTCTGCAAAGCAAATCTTTTAATTTTGAGGAAGTTCAGTTTATCAATTTTTTTCTCTCATGGCATGTATTTTTGATGTCAAGGGAAGAACTCTTTGCCGCCTTACACCCCAGAAATTTTCTATTTATGAGTTCTCTATTCTGTTCCATGGACATACATGTCTATCTCTCTGCCATCATGCACTGTCTTGGTTACTTTTTGCTACACAATAAGCCTTAACATCAGCTAGAGTGATTCAGATCACTTTATTCTTCTTTGCCAAGATGGTTTACAGTCTTTTTTAAGTTGCAAAAGTAATATATGGAGGCATACTTGGAAAGTTTTTAAAATGATACCAGATTCATGTGTTTCTTGGTAGTATTATTTGGTAACTTTTGGAGAAAAACTCTTCCTTTTCAATCACAAAAGAGGGTATATATTGGTTTCCCAAATGTGCATATCCCTAATGAGCTTAAGACTAATGCTTCTAGCTACCCATTATTACCCAAGAGTTTAATGCTATACATGTTTTAAATGAAAAGACTTGAAGCAAAATGTGGCTCTGGGTGTAATTCTTCTTATATTGTCGTAGTAGATATTGACAGGATCCTGTTGCTTTGTTTCCATTAGGCTGCAGGCCTAATCTTTGGTGTAATAGGACTGGAGAGAAGCTTGGAGAAACTTCAAAAAAGCAGTCCAGGCTTTTGTGAAGAATTACTCCCAGATAGTTAAAAAGAGAATTAGCTCTATTTTCACATGTTTAGTTTCTCTAGTGTCAGAAAGGCTCACGTTAAGCTGATATTGTTCACACAATTTTGGAGATAAAGTGATTAAACAGAAATGCCCACAAGCTATCACTTCCAGAACTGTAGAAAATATTCTACACAGGAAATTCTGGTGCTAGGAAATAAGGCATCTGTCTCCAGTTGATTCCAAGCTGGATATGTTTCTTGCAGCCTAAGGGAATTCAAAATGACCCTGTACTGATCCATATTCTGAATTTTTTGGCAGGGAGGTTGCTTCATCAAGAGACGCTGCATCCCAAAGTAGGTAGCATTTTGTACAGTGGACACCGAAGGAAAGCGGCACCGTCTACAAAAATAATTATGGAATATTTTTTGAAAAAATAATTGTTTCGATAAATTCCAAATGTATCGCTTCTACTGTATCATTTGGTTTAACAAACAGCATATAAAAATACAAGGGAACATGCATTAGAACAAAAAATAGTGTAAAAGTGATATTAAGAAGCTTAATTATTAATTATTTCTGCTAAGTAATTTGTAGATAGAAAGAGACTTGAGGATGTATCAGCTGGACCCACATTACCCAAAATGGAATGTTGGTGGAAAAGATGTCAATGAAGTAGAATGTCACTGATATTTATTGTTTTACCACCCAAAATCCTCCCTTCACCATTTTGTTTAGGGAGATTTTGCTCCCCTCACTCAAATCGTGGAGTCTGATGGAGTCTCACAATGCTCTTTCTCCTTCCACAGGAGTGATATATGACCCAGTTAGGTCAAATCTAGACTCTCAACCATTAGCCAGAGTAGTTGTTATAATACAAGTTCATGTCCCAAGCTGGGTTGGTCAGATCGATTTTCTAAGACTTCTAGCTGGGACTTACAGGTTAGTATCTGAATATTTGGAGGGGCTTGGAGACAGTATGCCAGACTCTTAGGGACAGTAAGGCTCAGAAAATGACAGATACAGAGCGAGACAAGATTCTTTGAACTGATTTTTTCCTAAGTCCTAGCTTGTTTTTTCTTTAGGTGGAGTTGGTTGATAGCAATTTTCAAATCTAACTTTCTTGCTGACATCCTTTCGACTTTTTCTATCAGTTTTAGAGAATTGAATTCTCTATATTTAATTATGGATTTGTCTCTTTGTCCTTTCATTTTTATCAGTTATACTTCAAGTAGTTAAGTATTCTGTTATTAGGTTCATACACATTTTGGGTTGTTATGTCTTTTGGTGAATTGACTTTTGCATCATCAGGTAATGCCCATCACTGGTACTTCTGGTTCTAAAGTCTACTTTTTCAGATATCCATAGGGCCACACTAGCTTTCTTTTTGATTTAGCACCTATGTATAGCAAGTACAACTTAAATATAGTTCCTAAAACAATAACTTTATCTAGTTCATGTAAGAATCCTAATGCTTATAGGAATATTCTTCTGAATTTGTGACAAAAATCTTATTTGAAAACAAAAGAATGTCCTTGAAAAGGATTTTAAGTAGATGGAGATTTATTAAAGGGTATATATGGCTCATAGAATCATGGCAGGCATTCAGGAAATAGTCTATGGGTTGAATGTTCAAGAATAGTTTCTATAACCACACAATATAACTGGCTCTCAAAGATAGTCAGTGCCTCTGGCATGAGCAGGAAAACGCAGAATCAAAGAACCATAGATATGGGGTCTGAGCCATTAAACCCCACCATCAAAATGGATGTGCTATACTTTGCCACCCTCTATAGGTAGCTTACTTTTAAAGCTTCACACATGTGTATAAGATTGGTGAAAATCAAACAATAACCAGAAATATATGCATTTAGACTAAAATATGTATGAATTTTTATTTGCTTTTTGCTTTCTTTTGTTCTGGTTCTTAGCTGTCTATCCTTACTGAAAAGAGATATGTGCTAGAAAGGGGTAGGAATGATTATACCAAGCCAATTTACAGTTTCTGACACATATCTTAGGCTAAGATAAGTTAAAGATTAAAGAAATTATTACAGATTCAAAGGATAAGAGAAACTAAGAGTATAAATACATACATGCATATGTATGTATATGTCTACGTATATGTTTGTTGAATATTGTAAAGTGGTTTATTTTCTGTTCCACTTTGAAATGAGAATATCAGAAATTCATGGAAACATTTTTCAAAAGAAAGTGTAAGTGTTGGCCAGGCATGGTGGCTCACACCTCTAATCCCAGCACTTTGGGAGGGCAAGGCTGGGGGATCTCTTGAGGTAAGGAGTTCAAGACCAACCTGGCCAACATGGTGAAACTCCATCTCTACTGAAAATACAAAAATTAGCCGGGTGTGGTGGCAGGCGCCTCTAATTCCAGTTACTAGGGAGGCTGAGGCACGAGAATCACTTGAACCCAGGAGGCAGAGGTTGCAGTGAGCAGAGATCACGCCACTGCACTCCAGCCTGGCCCAAAGAGCAAGACTCCGTCTCAAAAAAGAAAAAAAAAGTAAAAAGAAAAAAGAAAGAAAGTATAAGTATTTCTATTTTCTTCAGTTCAGTTATCCCTGTTTGAAATCCGATAGAATCTCTCTATTTTCTACTTTTAGTTCTCTTATTCTAGTAGACAGATGTTAAACTTTATTATTCATTTGCCATGTCTCAACTTTTATCATTGTATTCCCTTATTCTTTTGTACTATATTTTGAACTAGTTCCTACACTGAATTTTACAGCCATTTAATTCACTACTCAAAAGTATCTATACAGAAATTCACCTGAGCCTATTAAGGTTTTTATTACTATTTTTATCATTAGCTTTTACTTTCATCTAGCAAGCTTTAAAATCCTACGTGGTTAGCTTGATTGTTTATTGATACACTATATTCTAACATGTCTTTGAAAATATCAATTACATTTAGTCATTTTATTGGCTTTCCTCAAATACTTGGTCATTTCTATTTGTATACTTGTGTCGCTTATCCTGGTTCTGATATTTGAAAGGACTCACTATTCTCCACAAACTATAATCACATAGGATTTTATTTAAAGACAAAGATGCAATAGAGTAAAACAGGGTGCAGGTAGGTATTAGAGATTAAAGAGACATTCCACAATGACTTCCTTTTAAGAAAATTTTTTTAAACACATTCACGGACCATGCTGAGTCTCTGGCTTTAGCTGCCATGATCTATGCAGAAATCTTGGACTAGGGGGTGCTTCTCCAAAAAAAAATCACTATCCCTTTAAATAATCAAACTACTCTTGTCAAATAAGTTTGGCCAGTTGCAAAGCAGCTGTTAAGAAATTGGTCCTGTGGGTCACCAGGGAAGTGTCAGACCTTAAACATTGCATCATAAATCCCATGACTCTCATCTTGCCAAGAGTCAAAAACCAGACATTCAGAAGTCCCAAGATAAAAAGACCGAGCTTTCCCAGTCCAGCTGTTAATCAACTCTGGTTCCACCTCACTAACATTTTATATTGAAAGGCTTTATCCTGTCTGTGCCTGTCCTATCATCTTATGACAGTTTGTCTCTGGGTCTTTAGAGGAAATATGGAAATGGGCTACCAGGATGTGGGTTTCAGTGCTAGTATTCTGGGTATAGGGCTTCCCATTGTTTTCTGTTCTCTGATGTGGAGAGTACTGCTCAGTTTCTTATATTCAATAATACACATGTAATTCTCTTATTTGAAAGCAAACATTTCAGTAATCAGTATTTGTCTAAAGAAGCAGGGATGCAAGCTAGAGTCAAGAATGGTTGAGATTGGGGTGAAGTTAATCTACCTGGCTAATACTACTGTGGTAACATTAAATGATAGTGTTGGTCCCTCTCTAGCTGGTGTACTAATACAAGCTCATGTCCCAAGCTGGGGTGATCAGACTGATTTTCTAAGACCTCCAGCTGAGACTAATAGGTTAGTATCTGAATTTTGGAGCTGCTTGGAGACAGTATGCCAGACTCTTAGGGACAGTAAGGCTCAGAAAATGACAGATACAGAAACAAGATTCACCTCACAGTTCACAGTTTGTAACTCTCATAGTTTCCCAACTTTGCATTAACGAGCCCTCTCATTAACATATTTTACCTATTGTTATTTATTTCTTTTTGAGACAAGCTCTTACTCTGTTGCCTAGGCTAGAATGCAATGGCACAATGATGGCTCACTGCAGCCTTGACCTCCCAGGCTCAAGCAATCCTCCCACCTAAGCCTCCCAAGTGGCTGGGACCACAGGCACGTGCCATCACACCCAGCTACTTTTTAATTTTGTATTTTTTGTAGAGACAGGGTCTTGCTACGTTGCCCAGTGTGGTCTCAAACTCCTGAGCTCAAGCTCTCCTCCTGCCTTGACCTCCCAAAGTGCTGAGACTACAGGCATGAGCCACTGTGCCCGACGAATGAACAGACTTCAAAATACATTTTTTTTCTCCTCACTTCAAGAATGCTGAAAATTCTGGTTTGCCTACCATAACATTTTTATTTGCCATGCTCCTTCCTGCATATGGATTTTATATTTCCTGTTGTCTTTACCTTGAATACTTCTTTTTCTGCCTTTTTCACCTTGCTATAGCCCTGTAATTATTCATATCTTCCATGGAAAACGTCCTCTGATTCATCACCGTAATAAGTTAGTTTCCTCTCTTAGATTTTCATACAGGACTTGAATTTGACCTTCTTGGATTTCTGACCATTGTTTTAATCCTCTATAGGATTTGTAAAGTTTCTTGAATCTGTGATTTAATATATTTTGTCAGTTTTAGAAAATTCTTAAGTATTACCTCAACTATAGCTTCTTTCTCTCCTTTTTTTTTTTGGAGAGATTTCAGTTGCAATTACTTGAGATCTTTTATGGTTTTCCGCTGCACTATTACATTCCTTTTGTCATTTTCCATCTCTTTTTCAATCTTTGCTTCAATCTCAACATTTTAAAGTTACCTAAGTTCCTGATTATCAATGTGTTTTCTAATCTGTTATTGGATCCACCTGTTTCAGATATTATATTGTTCATTAATAAACATTTTATTTTTGAATCATTTCAGATTTACAGAAAAATAGTGAAGATACTATGGTGATTCCACATATATTTCATATTCATTTTCCCATTATTAATATCTAATATTAATATGGCACTTTTATTATAATTAGTGAGCCAATATTGATAAATTGTTTTTAACTAATGTCGACAGTTTTTTCAAATTTGTTTAGTTTTTAATCCTTTTTCTGTTTCATAATTTCAACTATAATAACATATTACATTTAGTTGTCATGAGTCCTTAGGCTACTTCTGACTGTGGCAGTTTCTCAGACTTTCCTTGTTTTTGATTATCTTGACAGTATTGAGGAGTACTCATCAGATATTTTGCAGAATATCCCTAAATTAGAACGTATATGAAGTTTTTCTCATGATTAAACCAAGGCCGTATGTTTTTAAGAGTTAGACCACAAAGTTAATGTGACATTCTCATCACATTATCCCAAGGTTAATACCTACCTTCAATTTGACTCAGCACTGTTGATGTTAATCTTGATTAACTGGCTGAGGCAGAGTTTGATAGGTTCCTCCATTGTAAAACTAATCTTTCTTCCTCCCTTTCCATATTATACTCTGTGAAAGAAAATGAAAACGTGTAGCCTACACTTAAGAAGGGCAAAGTATTGATGCATGTCATCAAGGGTAGAGTATCTACAGGATTTATTTGGAATTATTCCATGTGATAAATTTGTCTCTTCTCTTTCATTTATTTATCTATTCAATGATTTATTGATTCCTCTATTGGTTCACATATATTTACTTTATACATTTGGTTAAAACCCAGTACTACTTTATTTTATCACTCAAATTGTTCTATTAGTGGCCATTGCAAGCTCTTTCATTTTGCTCCTATGTCTTCTGACATACCCTTATCATTGTGTGTGTGTGTGTTTTTTGCTGTTTTTTCTTTAACATATTCTTATACTCTAATACTACAGGATGTTCCAGGCTTACCTTGTATCTAACCTGAGTCAGTCCTATAAACAGATATTTCTCCAGGGGGTCTGGTTCTGGTCCCTTTTACTGAATAATAATATTAGAAACCAAGATCTGAGTGTCAGGTTTCCTTGTTGCTACGGGACGCCCATTGGTTCTAGCTTTACCACAAGGAGATATACACCTGAATACTATCCCATGTATTTAAAAATTTGTATCTCCATGTTTTTAATATTTAACCATCTGTATGGATATTAATCTAAACATGAGTTTACTCCAATGCCTCCAAATCTTAACATGTTATCACATAGATCATTCTTGCCTCCTTCTCTTGCTTATTTAAAATCTCCAAATCTAACTGTAGGAATTCCAGCTACCAACATTTGCCATCAACCTTATGTAATTGTTCAGTTATACTGTTTACGTATAGCGGTTTAAGAATGATTAATTAACTTTACCCTTGTAGATGCTACTTTATCAACTGGAGCGATTATGTAGTTACTTTTTGCTGTTATTCTTACGAATTCCAGTCATTTCAACAGTTATTTGGGTTATCACCTTATTACCCTAACCCTTGAACAAGTTTATTTTATGCATTTGTAATTCATTTATATTCTTTGTCATTTTCTGAATTCTATGCTGGAATCTCCTGATCTCCTAAATTATATTTGATAAAACTTGCATACATTAAGGTAATTTTTCATATTATAAGCTTATGTAGACTTTGCCAAGTGCTTAGTGTCTAGTCCTCAATGTCATAGTATCAGTCCAGTACTCAACATTACAGTATTGTATATAAAAGTTTCACCTTCATAAAAAAAAAAGAAAGCCCCTGTGTTTTACCAACTGAACAACTGCCTTCCTAAAACCCTGGAAAACTTATTTGTTTTCTGTCTTCACATAGTTTTGCCTTTTTCAGAATGTTATATACATTGCAATCATATAATATGTAGCTATTTTAAAGTGCCTTCTTCCAATCAGCAATAGGCATTTAAGATTTATCTATGTGTTTTTGTGACTTAATGGCTCATCTCTTTTTTACCACTGAATAGACTCCATTTTATAAATATGTTGCAGCTTATTTATCTATTTATCTATTGAAACATCCTTGTTGCCTCTACCTTTTGGTGATTATCAATGCTATAAATGCTATAAACATTTATAATGCTATAAAAAGTTAATTTTTGTGGACTTTTTTAAATCAGTTAGGTAAACACTTAGCAGCATGATTGCTAGACCTTTGGTAAAAATATATTTAGCTTTGGAAGAAATTGCCAAACTGTCTTCAAAATGTCCCAACAGTTGGCATTGTCAGGTTTGCTTTTTTTGTTTATTTTGTTTTATTTATATTTTAGGATTTTAGCCGCCCTAGTTAGTATGTAATAGTATATCTCATTGTCATTTTAATTTGCAATTCTCTAATAACAAATATTATTGTACATCTTTTTATTTACTTAAGGTATCTGTGTATCATCTTGTCAGGTGTCTGATATTCAGATATTTTGCCCATCTTTAATTGGGCTGTTCACTTTCCTGTTGAGTTTTAAAAGTCCATTATATATTTTAGATACAAGTCCGTCATCAGATATGTGTTTTGCAAATACTTTCTTGCAGTTTGTGGCTTATCTTTCCATTCCTTCAATAGTGTCATTAGCAGAGCAAAAGTTTATAATTTTGATAGCTAAATTTGTGGATTGTCCTGTTAATGTTGTATTTAAAAACCCATAATCAAACCCAGGTCATGCACACTTTTTTGTTTTCTTCAAGAAATTTTATAATTTGTATTTTACATTTAGCTCTATTATCAATTTTGAGTTAATTTTAATGAAAAGTGTAAGATGCTTAAGTTCATCTTTTACATATAGATGATATAGTTTAAATGTTTGTCCCCTCCAAAATCTCATGCTGAAATGTGATCCCCAGTGTTAGAGGCGGGGCCTGGTTGGAGGTGTTTTGATCATGGGGGCAAATCCCTCATGAACGGCTTAGTGCTCTCCTCATGGTAATGAGTGAGTTCACACTCTATCGGTTCACATGAGAGCTGGTTGTTTAAAGGAGCCTAGCACTTTCTCTGTTCTCTCTTCTTATCCCCTCTCTCTCCATGTGACACTCTCGTTCCCCTTTGCCTTCTTCCATAGTTGTAAGTTTCCTAAGGCCCTCACCAGAAGGAGACACTGGCACTATGCTTCATGCACACCCTGCAGAACCATGAGCCAAAGAAACCACTTTTCTTTATATTATTACCCAGGATCAGGTATTCTTTTATAGCAATACAAACAAACTATGCAATGGGCATCCAATTTGCTTCAGCGTGATTTCTTGTAAAGACTGTAATTTCTCAATTGAATTGCTTTTGCTTCTTTGTCAAAGATAAATTGACCATATTTGTTTACATGTATTTTGGGGCTTTATCCTGTTCTCTCGATCTGTGTTTATATTCTTACCCCAATGCCACATTTTCTTGATTATTGTAGCCTCATAGTAAGTCTTGAAGTTAGATTGTATCAGAATGCCAACTTTTGCCATTACGTTTAATACTTGTGTCAAAAGAGTTTGTACTGGGTTGTTCAGGTCAACCTCCAGGCCAGTAGGTGGCACTCACAGATAAGAACTGACTGCCGGTGGCAGCAGCATGGTTTATGCCTGATCTTCACTTATGGAGGGAAGCACTCCAGGGCCTCAGACAATGGGCTTGTTCCCAGAACACAGCCTGGGAGAAAGGATGAAGCTAAATGGAGCTGGATCGAACAAGCCTGCTGCCCTTGGGTCCACTAATAGCACGTTCAAGCACCAACCCCGATGGGGGTAGCAGGGAAGTCATTGGGACCTTTATGAAATGTGCTGAGGTCCCTGAAAAGGGGTTGGGAGAGAAGGATGGGACTATCTCAGTGCTGTGGCCTTGGCAGGCAGGAATGTGATCTGTTTATCTGTCATATGCCCATCCTGGTGCTTGGGATATTCAGCTTGGTTAAACACTGCTGTTTACTTCCAAATTGCAATGTGGCATGGAGCCATAGGAGATGCCTGCTCCATGGCTCACCACTAAACTTCTGTGTGGTCTGGAGCACAGTGTAAAGTCTCTCCCAACAACACCAAATACAGCTCTACAGCTCTCCTGGTCTCCATGGCAGGAAAGCTACAACTTCATGCAGAGATGGGGAAGGACCCTACATTTTGGGCAAGCTGGGGTCAGGAGTTCATGCTGCCGGTGGACACTCAGCCACCCTTCACATTCCCAGGCAGCCTGCCTTCTAGTTTGCCTGTGTCAACTTCCCATGGAAGGAGAAATGGCAGCCTTTGCCGTGATGAGTGGAGAGGGAGAAGTCCTCCCCTCTATGCATGGGTTAGGGCACCGAGGTGACTCGGCCAGTGGGATGGGATTTTGCTTCTTGCTTACAGAGTCCAGCACAGAATTTGTGTCTCTGGCGGATGGAGTTGCCAATCACAGCCCCATGTAGTGAGCTGGTAGACCCTAGAAGGCATGTGCTTTGGTTTCCTTTGTCCCAGGGGCTTTCCCTGTTGTATGCTACACTTTACTTTCCCTTAGGAGTAGTACTCCCTGAGGGCTAGATCCCTGGGAACCCTGCAGTTATCTTGGGTCCAGCTAGCACTGTACTGCTGCTGCTGTCTGAGTAGGTGCTGAGGAATACCTGCAAGAACTCCCAAGATGTGGAGCACAAGAGCTGAGGTTCCCAGGGAAAGATACAGTCCCCCAGTGGCTGTGCCCTGACAATGGCAACACACCACAGTCACTTGAGTGTCAGGGGAAGGCAAGTGACGCAGCCTGAATTCATAGTCTGGTGTAATGTTCTCGAGAAATCTCCAAATCATTACCTTCAATGATGTCAGGGCTTGCAAGTGCAGAGGAGTTCTCCCACAGTTTAAATACTGGCAGTCTGCCACAGGAATGAGGGGAGTAAAAGTATTTCCACTTACCTTTTCCACACAACACCAAGTCCCTTGTGACTCCCAGCTGATCTATGCTAGCCACGTTGGCCTCTTGCTTTCTTCCTTTTCTGTGCCTCAGTTTTTTTTTGTTGTTGTTGTTTTCCCAGGAGTTCTCTATTGGGTTCTAGTAAACCCTCCTTGATAGCCTATTCAAGATGTGATTATCTATATGTAATTTTGGTCCTTCTTTCTGAGGAGAACTGGTGTCCAGTGTCTCTAGTTAGCCATCTTGAAGGAAAAAAAAAAAAAAGCTGAGTCTTCTAATCCTTGAACATGAACTTTTCTCTCCATTCATTTAGATCTTCTTTGATCTCTTTCATAAGTGTTTTGTAGTTTTTGTATATATGTTATTTACATATTTTGTTAAGTTTCTGTGTTAGTATTTCATTTTTTTGGTTATTATATATGATATTGCTTTTTTAAATTCAAATTCCAATTGTTAATTGCTGCTATATAAGAAAGTCATTGGCTTTTGTATGTTAACCTTAGTTCTTTGTTTGTTTTGTATATTAACTTTGCTGTAACTGCATATTACCTATAGGATTTTCTTGTGATTTTCTACATATACAATCATGTCATCTATGAGTAGAGAGAGTTTTACTTCTTCACTTATAATCTGTATAACTATACTTACTTTTTTCGTATTATTGCACTAACTAGGACTTCCGGTAAAATGATGAAAAGGACTGGTTGAAAGGAAATGTTTTCCTTTGCCCTGAACTTAGAGGGAAGACATCCAGTTTCTCACTATTAAGTACAATGTTAGCTGTAGGTTTTATGTAGATACTGTCTATAAAGTTGAGGAGATTTCTTTCTATACCTAGTTTTCTAAGAGTTTGTATTGTGAAAGTTTCAGGATACAAAATTAATATAAATAAATGAGTAGCACTACTATACCACAGAGACCAAGCTGAGAATCAAATTAAGAACTTAATCCCTTTTACAAAGCTGTAAAAAAGTAAAGTAATTAGGAATATACCTAACCAAGAAGGTGAAACACCTCTACAGGAAAACTACAAAACACTGTTGAAAGAAATCATAGATGACACAAACAAATGGAAACACATCCCATGTTATGAATGAGTAGAATCAATATTGTGAGTGTGACCATACTAATTTATAGATTCCATACTGTTTCCACTAAACTACCATTGACATTCTTCCCAGAATTAGAGAAAGAAACTATTTTAAAATTCATATGAAACCAAAAAAGAGCCCGCATAGCCAAAGCAAAACTAAACAAAAGAACAAATCTGGAGGCATCACATTACCTGACTTCAAACTATACTACAAATCTATTGTCACCAAAACAACATGGTACTGGTATAAAAATAGGCACATAGACCAATGCAACAGAATAGAGAACCCAGAAATAAGGCCAAATGCTTACAACCAACTGATCTTCAACAAAGCAAACAAAAACATAAAGTGTGGGAAGTACACCCTATTCAACAAATGATGCTGGGATAGTTGTAAGCCACATGTAGAAGAATGAAATTGGATTATCATCTCTTGCCTTATAGGAAAATCAACTCAAGATGGATCAAGGACTTAAATGTTCAATCTGAAATCATAAAAATTCTAGAAGATAGTATCAGAAAAACCCTTCTAGACATTGGCTTGGGCAAAGACTTCATGACCAATAACCCAAAAGCAAATGCAACAAAAACAAAGATAAATGGATGGGACTTAATTAAATTAAAAAGCTTCTGCACAGCAAAAGAAACAATCAGCAGAGTAAACAGAACCCACAGAATGGGAGAAAATCTTTGCAAACTATGCATATGACAAAGGATTAATATTCAAATTCTACAAGGAACTCAAATCAGCAAGAAAAAAACAATCTCATCAAAAAGTGGGCTAATGACATGAATAGAAAATTCTCAAAAGAAGATATACAAATGGCCAACAAACATATAAAAAATGTGCAACTTTACTAATTATCTGGGAAATGCAAATCAAAATCACAATGCCATACCACTTTACTCCATCAAGGATGGCCATAATTTAACAATAAAAAAAAATAGATGTTGGCCTAGGTGTAGTGGAAACAAAACACTTTTCCACTGCTGATGGGAATGTAAACTAGCACAACCACTGTGGAAAACAGTTTGGCGATTCCTTAAAGAACTAAAAGTAGAACTACCATTTGATTCAGAAATCACACTATTGGGTATCTACCCAGAGGAAAATAAATCATTATATGAAAAAAATACTTGACATGCATGTTTAGAGCAGCACAATTCACAATTGCAAAAATATGGAACCAGCTCAAATGCTCATCAATGAGTGGATAAAGAAAATATTATATATATATATATATATATATATATATATATATATATATATATATATATCTACCATAGAATACTACTCAGCCATAAAAAGGAACAAAATAATATTCACAGAAAATTGGATGGAGTTGGAGACCATTATTCTAAGTGAAGTAACTCAGGAATGGAAAACTAAACATTGTATGCTTTAGTTTGTTTTCTTACTGCTATAAAGAACTGTCTGAGTCTGAGTAATTTATAAAGGGAAGAAGTTTAATTGATTCACAGTTCAGCAAGGCTGGAGAGGCCTCAGGAAACTTAATATCATGGCAGAAGGTGAAGGGGAAGCAAGGCACCTTCTTCACAGGGCAGCAGGAAGAAAAAGTGCTGAGCGAAGAGGGTAGAGCTCCTTATAAAACCATCAGATCTCTTGAGAACTCACTCAGTATCATGAAAACAGCATGGAGAAAACAGCCTCCATGATTCTACTACCTGTAATTGATCTCTCCCTTGACACGTGGGGATTATGGGGATTACAACTCAAGATGAGATTTGGGTGGGGACACAAAGCATGACTATATCATTGTATGTTCTCACTTTTAAGTGGGAGCTAAGCTATGAGAACACAAACGTATAAGAATGATACAGTGGACTTTGGGGACTTAGCATGGAAGGGTGAGGTGGTGAGGGATAAAAGACTACACATTCGGTACAGTGTACACTGCTCAGGTCATGGGTGCACCAAAATCTCAGAAATTACTGCTAAATAACTTATTAATATAACCAAACACCACCTGTTTCCCAAAAACTATTGAAATAAAAACATAAAAATAGGCCAGGAGCAGTGGCTCATGCCTGTAATCCCAGCACTTTGAGAGGTCGAGGCAGGCAGATCAGCTGAGGTCAGGAGTTTGAGACCAGCCTGGCCAACATGGTGAAACTTCGTCTCTATTAAAAATTCAAAAATTAGCTGGACGTGAGGGCGCATGTCTGTAATCCCAGCTCCTCAGGAGGCTGAGGTAGGAGAATCACTTGAACCCAGGAGGTGAAGGTTGCAGTGAGCTGAGTTTACACCACTGCACTCCAGCTTGGGAGACTCCATCCCATAAATAAATAAATAAATAAATGTCTACATTGTTTGGTATAAAGTAATTTTTTAAATTAACGTAACTATTATAACATTAAAAAATAGAAAATAAGACTAAAATATAAATACAACAGTTTGTATCATGAATGGAGGTTGGATTTTATCAAATACATCAATTGAGATGATCATATTTTTCTTCTTTGTCCTTTTTATGTGGTGGATTATATTTATTGGTTTTCAAATGTTGAGGCAGTCTCGCGTGGTTGGAATGAATCCCACTTGATCATGAAGTAGTGTATAATTCTTTGTGTGCAGTGTTGGAGTCCATGTGCTAATATTTTGTTGAGGGTTTTTGCATGTGTCTTTATGAAAGATATTGGTCTATAATTTTCTTGCAATGTTGATATGATTTTGGTGTCAGGGTATGCTAAGACTCCAAAGAATGAGTTAGGATGTTTTCTGTCTGCTTCCATTTTCTGGAGATGTTGTAAAAAGTTGATGACATTTCTTTTTAAAATGCCTATAACAATTAAAGAGTTAACCCACTTGGACCTACTTTTTTTTTTTTAGTTTATTATTAATTTGAATTTTTAATATACAAAATTCCCTTTAGGATTATCTATTTTCCCTTTATTTGAGTTTTGGCAACTTGTTTGTTATATGGAATTAATTTCATCTAAATTATCACATGGTGGAACATAGGTGGGCGTAGTGTTTCTTTGTTATTCTTTTAATGTCCATAGAATGATTAATGATAAACACTCCTTCAATACTAAGATTTGTAATTATTATTTTATTTATTTTTTATCTTACGTAGACTGGCTAGAAATTTAAACATCCTGTTGGTGTTTTTCCAAATAACCATCACTTTTTTCATTGAATTTCTCCATCATTTCTCCATTTTTAATTCATTGCTTTGTGGTCCAGTTTTTATTATTTCTTTTCTTCTGTTTGCTTTAGGCTGAAAAATTCTTCTTTCTATAGTTTCCTTGGCATATTGATTTCAGATCTCCCCTTTGTTAAATATATGCATCCCATGTACACATTTTCCTCAAAGCATTGTTTTTGCTGCATCACACAATTTTTGATAATTTGTGGGTTTGTTTTCATTTTTATTTAGTTCATAATATTTTTATTTTGCCTGGGACCACTTATTTTATTTAAGTATGTTCTAATGTTTACTATTTCCAAAAATCTAGGATTTTTCTGCTATTTTTTTCTTATTGGGTTTTCTAGTTTAATTTCATTGTGGTCTAAGAATACACTTTGTATGATTTCTATTCTTTTAAATTTGGTGAAATATGTTTTACGGTCACAATGTCATCCACCTTAGAGAATATTTCATGGGATGATTCTAATTTTGTTGGATGGAGTATTCTGAAAATCTCAATTGAGCTGGTGGATACTGCTGTTCAGTTCATTTATATCCTTAATGACTTTCTCCCTGCTTGATCTATCAATTATTTAGAAAAAGAGTTAAATGTCAATTATAATAGTATACTTGTCTATATCTTCTCAGTTATATCAGTTATGCATTTTTTCCCAATTGATCAAGCACCATTTATTAAAAAGACCATTTATACATAGCATTGCAGATATAGCTGGATTTGATTCTAGTACAGTACTCTAGTAACTGTTCTGTTACTGGGTCTATTTTCCTATCCTTGTGCCAATATCAAAATATCATAAATTAGCTTTGTAATGTCTTTTTAAGAAATTTTAGATTCAGCCCGTATATGTGTATGTTTGTTACATGGGTATGTTGCATAATGCTGAGATTTGGGATTCTAACGATCTTCTCACCCAAGCAGTGAATGTATTACCTGCTAGGTAGTTTTTCTATCTTTACCCCCTCCCTGTCTCCCACCTTTGGAATCCTCAGTGTTTATTGTTCCCATCTTTGTGTCCATGTGTATCCATTGTTTAGCTCCCAATTATGGGAGAGAATGTGTAATATTTGGTTTTCTGTTTCTGCTTCAATTCGCCTATGATAATGGCCTCCCAGCTGCATCTATGTTACTGCAAAGGACATGATTTCATTTTTTCTTATATATCATGCATTTTGATACTCAGTTGTTAGGCACATACGCATTTTGTATTGTTATCTCTTATTGGAGAATTTGCACTTTACCAGTATGTAGTGCCCCTCTACATCCCCAATAATTTTCCTTGTTTAAAAGTCTGATTTGTTGGAAATCAATATAACTATTCAGCTTTCTTTTTATCAGTGTTAGCATATTTTATCTTTCTATGCCCCTTTACTTTTAATCTATTTGTGTCTTCACACTTAAAATGGTTTTTTTGTATGCAACATATGTTGGGATTTTTTTAATCCATTCTGACATCTCTGTCTTTTAGTTGCTGCATTGAGACCATTCATATTCAAAGCTTTAATGACATAGCTGAAGTAGTATTTACCATGTTTCTCAATGTTGTGTATTCCTTACACTTTTCCTTTGTATCTTTGTGTATTTTTTTATCTTCGTCTCTGTTTATGCATTCTGTGGTTTTAACTGAGCATTTTATATAATTCCATTTTGTCTCTTTAGTCCAGCAATTGTGCTTCTGTTTTAAAATTTTTTATTAGTTGTTCTACAATTTACAATATACATTTACAACTAGTTTAGGCCCACTTCAAGTAACTCTATGTGATTTCATGCATGGTGCAGGTATCTTGTAACAGAATATTCCCAATTCCTTCTTATCATCTCATGAATTTTTTGGTCATTTATTTTATTTATCTATGTGTGATAACCATCTAATACATTCTTTCTACTATTAAACTAGACAGTTATCTTTAACATTAAAAGTAAGAATGAGAAAAGATTTTATTTTACCATAATTTATTTCTTCTCTGTTCTTCCTTTCTTTATGTCAATCCACATTTCTAACCTATATAATTTTCCTTCTCTCTGAAGGACTACTAATTTTTCTAGCATGGTAATTATGCTTGCAATTAATTCCCTTAGTTTTTTTTTTATCTAAGAAATAATGTAATTGTTTTTTAAATGGAAGTACAATGTTGGTGAAAATTGAATTCTAGATTTAATGTTTTTCCTTCAACACTTTAATATTTTATTCCACTCTCTTGGTGCATGCATGATTTTTTACAAAAAATCTACTGTAATTCCTATCCTCATTCTCCTCTAGGTGAGATGCTTTTGTCAATTTTACTTCTTTCAAGATTTTCTGTTTATCTATGTTTTATACACGAGATGCCTAGGTATGTTTTGTTTTGTTCGATTTTGCTTTGATATCTATTCTTCTTGGTAATCACTGAGCTTCCTGACTCTGTAGATTAGGGTCTGCTGTAAATTGGAAAGCTCTCAGTCATTATTTCCTCAAATGTTTCTTCTCCTGTAATTTTTTCTCCTTCACATGTTTTATTTATGCTAATGTTACACCTTTCATAATAATTTCATAGTTCTTAAATGTTTCTGTTCTTGATTGCTCACACCTCTTTGCTATTGCATGTCATTTTGAGAAGCTTCTGTTGACCTGTATTCAAGCTCACTGATTTTTATGTCAGTGTCTGTTCTCTATTTTATTTAAAATGTTTTTGACTTCTAGCATATTCTTTTGCTTCTTAGAGTTTCCATAATTCCACTTACTATAATATCTGTTATTTTGTGTTGTCTACTTTTCCATTACAGCCTTTAACGTATTAATCATAGTTGTTAATCATCATTCTCAGTAAACTATCGCAAGAACAAAAAACCAAACACCACATATTCTCACTCATAGGTGGGAATTGAACAATGAGATCACATGGACACAGGAAGGGGAACATCACACTCTGGGGACTGTTGTGGGGTGGGGGGAGTGGGGGAGGGATAGCATTGGGAGATATACCTAATGCTAGATGACGAGTTAGTGGGTGCAGCGCACCAGCGTGGCACATGTATACATACGTAACTAACCTGCACAATGTGCACATGTACCCTAAAACTTAAAGTATAATAATAAAAGAAAAAAAATCATAGTTGTTTTATTAATAAATTCCCTGTCTAACGAGTCCTACATCTGTGGTATCATCTGCTCTTGCTTCTAATGCTTCTTCAGACTTTCTCTGTTTCTCTCTCTATCTCAACTTGCCATTTTTTTTTTTTTGCAAGTTGGGCATGTTTATCGGATAATAAATTAAAGGTAAAAGGCCTTTAGTGTGATAATTTATGTTAATGTAGAAGTTGGCCTGTGTTTAATGTTTTCATAGCCATAAATGACAGAGGCTTCAAATTCTTTTAGTGTTTTTGTTTCTGGCTTCCCTCTTGACTTTGGATTTCCTTAAACACTCATCCTATGAAGAGATTCCTAATACTGTAGTTATTTCCATTATAATCTACTGTTATTATAATAAAGATCTGGTCATGTGATGTGGGGAGGAGAAGCATTCTGTAATCTTTTGATTTAATTTATATATTTTAATGAGCTTGTGCCTCTGGGCTATGACCTTCATAAAAATTTCTTCCAAGGCACAGCTTTTTTTTTTAATTTCCTAAATATGAGGTAGAAAAGTTAGATGAGAACTGGAGACTAAGTAAAATACTTCATTCTCCAGTTGAAATAAAAATGTGGATTTTTATTTTTCCCCTGAAGAACAGGCATTATACACACAAAACATGCTGGGAATATTTGACAATTATTACTCTTCCCTTTCCATTGTCTGAGCCACAAAGGGATCTTTCTAGGATATCCACCTTGAAAACATAGTAGACTTGCAAAATGTGGGGCTTCTCCCAAGACTGTGTTCCTTAGATTTTTTTATTGTCATGGTTATCAAAATTACCATTTAAGTGTCCCGACACATTTATGGTTCCCATGGCTCCTGCTCTGAGTAAGCAGTTCTTAGCTGTGGTTTTTGATTTGTTTGTCCCTTCAGATTTCCGACTGGCAATTTTCCCTGTAATCTCAGTTCTCTGACGAGTTCAATAAAAGTCATTGATTTTCTTTTGTTCTGCTGCTTCTCATTGTAAGGACTGGAGTGACAACTTCCAAGCACTTCTTTACATGTTGCTGCTGGAACCAGAGTATTCAGCTACATAATTTTTAACTTCTAGAATTTTGAATGGACCCTTTTGAGGTTTTAAAATTACACTTAAATTGAATCTTTTAAGATTTGAAGTTTATATTGATAGTCTCCTTTTTTTCTCTATTCTTGCCAACATATTAATCATTATATAAAATTCTTGTCTGTAAGCTGTGATGTCTGATTTGTCAATTTTTTATCTTGGTTTTTGGTCACTTGCTTTTGGTAAATCATACCTCATACTTTTTTTGTGTTTAATGCCAGATATCATATATAGAAATTCACAGATGCTCTGTTTGATATTTTTCTCAAAGGGGGTTAAACATTTTTCTGGACAGAAAATAGAGCAGAGGCTGATTCTTTCGATTCCACAGAGGATTAGTTTTAGGCTTCTTTTTTTCTTCTTCTTTCAGGCTGAATTTCTTCAACTTTGGCCTTCCTTCTAGTTCTTAGCCCCTACCCCTTGTCTGTGCCCCTCTGGGGTCTTACCTGCAAACTAGGATTGTTTCTCATCTTACTGGTTATAGACCTCTTCCTCCCCAGTATTCCACTGCTGCTGAAACCTCTGAGAAATTCTTTAGCTTTTCAGTTGCTGTTTTCTGTACAAACTGTTGTAGTATCTCACTGAGCTTGTTTATCTCAGGTGCCAAATACTTCGGGAGAAATTGTGCAAAGATATTTGAGTTCACTTTATGTGGATCCCTTCTCTGTGGAATTTTGTCCTCCAAGTCTAATATCACTTTGAAATTGATAGACCCCAATCTCTGAATTATCAGATTTGTCAATTACATTAAATACAGTCTTAAATATTACCATTATTTTAAATTGCCCAGAACTAAATCAATATACATTTATATTATTTTGAAAATACAATCAGCCAGCATAAATAATATTTTAGGATGGTACAGAAACATCACATACAAAGTGGATCAATTCAACAAGATCTAACTATCCTAAATATACATACACCCCATACAGGAGCACTCAGATTCATAAAGCAAGTCCTTAGAGACTTACAAAGAGACTTAGACTCCCACACAATAATAATGGGAGACTTAAACACCCCACTGTCAACATTAGACAGATCAATGAGACAGAAAGTTAAAAAGGATATCCAAGAATTGAACTCAGCTCTGTACCAAGTGGACCTAATAGACATCTACAGAACTCTCCAACCTAAATCAACAGAATATACATTCTTCTCAGCACCACATCACACTTATTCCAAAATTGACCACATAGTTGGAAGTAAAGCACTCAAGCACTCCTCAGCAAATGTAAAAGAACAGAAATTATAACAAACTGTCTCTCAGACCACAGTGCAATCAAACTAGACCTCAGGATTAAGAAACTCACTCAAAACTGCTCAACTACATGGAAACTGAGCAACCTGCTCCTGAATGGCTACTGGGTACATAACGAAATGAAGGCAGAAATAAAGATGTTCTTTGAAACCAATAGGAACAAAGACACAACGTACCAGAATCTCTGGGACACATTTAAAGCAGTGTGTAGAGGGAATTTTATAGCACTAAATGCCCACAAGAGAAAGCAGGAAAGATCTAAATTTGACACCCTAACATCACAATTAAAAGAACTAGAGAAGCAAGAGCAAACACATTCAAAAGCTAGCAGAAGGCAAGAAATAACTAAGATCAGAGCAGAACTGAAGGAGATGGAGACACAAAAAACCTTTCAAAAAATCAATGAATCCAGGAGGTGGTTTTTTGAAAGGATCAACAAAATTGATAGACCGCTAGCAAGACTAATAAAGAAGAAAATAGAGAAGAATCAAATAGATGCAATAAAAAATGATAAAGGGGCTATCACCACCGATCCCACAGAAATACAAACTACCATCAGAGACTACTATAAACACCCCTATGCAAATAAACTAGAAAATTTAGAAGAAATGGATAAATTCCTGGACGCATACACCCTCCCAAGACTAAACCAGGAAGAAGTTGAATCCCTGAATAGACCAATAACAGGCTCTGAAATTAAGGCAATAATTAGTAGCCTACCAAGCAAAAAAAGTCCAGGACCAGATGGATTCACAGCTGAATTCTACGAGAGGTACATGGAGGAGCTGGTACCATTCCTTCTGAAACTGTTCCAATGAACAGAAAAAGAGGGAATCCTCCCTAGCTCATTTTATGAGGCCAGCATCATCCTGATATCAAAGCCTGGCAGAGAGACAACATAAAAAAGAAAATTTTAGACCAATATCCCTGATGAACATTGATGCCAAAATCCTCAATAAAATACTGGCAAACCGAGTGGGCTTCATCCCTGGGATGCAAGGCTGGTTCAACGTATGCAAACCAATAAACGTAATCCAGCATATAAACAGAACCAAAGACAAAAACCACATCATTATCTCAATAGAAGCAGAAAAGGTCTTCGACAAAATTCAACAGCCCTTCATGCTAAAAACTCTCAATAAATTAGGTATTCATGGGACGTATCTCAAAACAATAAGAGCTATTTATGACAAACCCAAAGCCAATATCATACTGAATGGGCAAAAACTGGAAGCATTCCTTTTGAAAACTGGCATAAGACAGGGATGCCCTCTCTCACTACTCCTATTCAACATAGTGTTGGAAGTTCTGGCCAGGGCAATCAGGCAGGAGAAAGAAATAAAGGGTATTCAATTAGGAAAAGAGGAAGTCAAATTGTCCCTGTTTGCCCATGACATGATTGTATATTTAGAAAACCCCATCGTCTCAGCCCAAAATCTCCTTAAGCTGATAAGCAACTTGAGCAAAGTCTCAGGATACAAAGTCAATGTGCAAAAATCACAAACATTCTTATACACCAATAACAGACAAACAGAGAGCCAAATCATGAGTGAACTCCCATTCACAATTGCTTCAAAGAAAATAAAATACCTAAGAATCCAACTTACAAGGGATGGAAGGACCTCTTCAAGAAGAACTACAAACTACTGCTCAACGAAATAAAAGAGGACACAAACAAATGGAAGAACATTCCATGCTCATGGAGAGGAAGAATCAATATTGTGAAAATGGCCATACTGCCCAAGGTAATTTATAGATTCAGTGCCAATCCCCATCAAGCTACCAATGCTCTCTTCACTGAATTGGAAAAAACTACTTTAAAGTTCATATGGAACCAAAAAAGAGCCCACATTGCCAAGTCAATCCTAAGCCAAAAGAACAAAGCTGGAGGCATCACGCTTCCTGACTTCAAACTGCACTACAAGGCTACAGTAACCAAAACAGCATGGTACTGGTACCAAAACAGAGTTATAGATCAATGGAACAGAACAGAGCACTCAGAAATAATTCCACACATCTACAACCATCTGATCTTTGACAAACCTGACAAAAACAAGAAATGGGGAAAGGATTCCTTATTTAATAAATGTTTCTGGGAAAACTGGCTACCATATGTAGAAAGCTGAAACTGGATCCCTTTCTTACAACTTATACAAAAATTAATTCAAGATGGATTAAAGACTTAAATGCTAGACCTAAAACCATAAAACCCTAGAAGGAAACCTAGGCAATACCATTCAGGACATAGGCATGGGCAAGGACTTCATGTGTAAAACACCAAAAGCCATGGCAACAAAAGCCAAAATTGACAAATGGCATCTAATTAAATTAAAGAGCTTCTGCACAGCAAAAGAAACTACCATCAGAGTGAACAGGCAACCTACAGAATGGGAGAAAATTTTTGCAATCTACTCATCTGACAAAGGGCTAATATCCAGAATCTACAAAGAACTCAAACAAATTTACAACAAAAAAACAAACAACCCCATCAAGAAGTGGGCGAAGGATATGAACAGACACTTCTCAAAAGAAGACATTTATGCAGCCAACAACACATGAAAAAATGCTTATAATCACTGGCCATCAGAGAAATGCAAATCAAAACCACAATGAGATACCATCTCACACCAGTTAGAATGGTGATCATTAAAAAGTCAGGAAACAACAGGTGCTGAAGAGGATGTGGAGAAATAGGAACACTTTTACACTGTTGGTGGGACTGTAAACTAGTTCAACCATTGTGGAAGACAGTGTGGAGATTCCTCAAGGATCTCGAACTAGAAATACTATTTGACCCAGCCATGCCATTACTGGGTATATACCCAAACGATTATAAATCATGCTGCTATAAAGACACATGTACACGTATGTTTATTGCAGCACTATTCACAATAGCAAAGACTTGGAGCCAACCCAAATGTCCATCAATGATAGACTGGATTAAGAAAATGTGGCACATATACACCATGAAATACTATGCAGCCATAAAAAAGGATGAGTTCATGTCCTTTGTAGGGACATGGATGAAGCTGTAATCCATCATCCTGAGCAACCTATTGCAAGGACAGAAAACCAAACACCACATGTTGTCACTCCTAGGTGGGAATTGAACAGTGAGAACACTTGGACACAGGAAGGGGAACATCACACACTGGGGCCTGTTGTACGGTGGGGTGAGAGGGGAGGGATAGCATTAGGAGATATACCTAATGTAACTGATGAGTTAATGGGTGCAGCAGACCAACATGGCACATGTATACATATGTAACAAACCTGCACATTGTGCACATGTACCCTAGAACTTAAAGTATAATAAAATAAAATAAAATAAAAGTGGAAATCAATGTACACAACAGTAATCACAAGATCAGTGCTTGCTAATTTTAATTCTCATATTTTAAAAATCATTTAAATTAAAAATAATAGATCTATTAACATTTTAAAATAAATTCTATTGCCTTGTGCTTTATATTAATTAGGTTCTACTCAAATCTGATGCTATTTTTGATACTCCAGATTTTAAAAACTGTGGTGCTAGTAAACTGAGAAATAGTTATCCTGAAAATGTCATAGGTATAGTAGCTATGAAATATGGAGTTATAAATATGTAGACATTTTTAAAAAATGTGTATTTTTTTCACTTTACCATTTTTCATGGCAGATTACATAGTTAAGGGTAATGATATGACATGCAACATGTTCCCCATTTAGGGAACAAGGCCAGCACAATATTATCAACAATTGTGTAATTGCTTACACATTAAATTCATTTTCTTTCATTTATTCCCTCAAAAAAAAAAAACCAGAACACATGCATGTAATTGCTCTTTATTTGTTCAATATTATATATTAAGCTTTACTTAGGACCCAATTTAGATTGTATATGTCTCTAGTGACAAGACAAATTTATTTGAGAAAGAATACACCTACTGTAATGGTTTTCTAGTTTATTATAAATACAAATGTGGAAAAAGAGTAAGAAGAGAGAAAGAGAGATTTAGCTACAATAACATGGCTAAAAACATTCTGTTATACATAAAATAAATTATCAGACTGTGCTAGTCCATGAAAAGAGTAAATTTAATCACTTAGAATTCAGTGTTTATTGCTAGTTAGCTTTTCGCTTGATCCGATATTTTATCTGTAAAATATATATTGCTTTGAATGTAACTTGTATCACTATAAAAGTTAAGCCAAATAACTTATTTAAACCAATTGACTGTAATAACCACAAAAAAGTTGTTTACAATTCACATAGTCAGTGTCCAAATATTTAAATAAATGCCATTCTAACTTTTCATTTTGTCTACACTGACTAGCTATTCCAAAATTACTAAAATTTATTATTCCATATTGTTCACACAGAAAAACGAACATATTTTGTCTCTTTCTCTTTGTCTCTCTCCCTTTCTCACACACACACACACACACACACACACAGAGATTTGAATTACTGCTACTTTTGCACTTGGGACATTTATTGAAACAAAGACTACCATTTTGCCATAATTAGACTTCGTGAAGAGCAGTATTAGATTTTGGCAATTTTAGCAGGCATGCTTTTTTTTTTTTTCTTTTGAAATGGTTCATTGAAGATAATTGAAAACAGCAAAGGAATGTCCTTGGTGAGTGTTAGCTGGATCACGTGATGATGCTGGATGGGAACTAAGCTATAACTAGGACTACATGAAACCTGCAAAAGACCAACGATTAAAAAAATGAAAACATTATTGTAGAAGTTCAGATGAAACTAAAATGGCTAGAAATTAACATTATCTGCTTATGTCTTTCAGTAATATTCCTCATTCACTTTGGTAATAACAAACTTAAAAATAAGCCCAATTAAGGGCTTATCAGAGATGTTGCCCCTCTTTTTTCTTTTATTATAGTTATTTCTGTTTTGTTTATTTTGATTATTAGATTTTGAATAATAAAAGTTAAGAATATAAAATAGACTAGAGAATTGAAGATTAAGGTATTTTCACTCAGGCCTAAACATACACACACACACACACACACACACACACACACACACACACACACGCAAAGAGAGAGAGAGAGAGAATACAATAGACACCAACTAGAATCAACTATTTTAACACTGTCACATGTGGTTCTTGTGATTTCTTGTTTGATTTTGTTTTAAAAATATAAAATATTGCATATGGCTAACTCTCTGTTTGAATAATGTCTTATTTTCATGTAATCTTGAGTCCCATTTAGCTTTCTGCTTCCCTAAACACAATTAATACCATGAATGTAGTGTGTATCTTTTTAATCTGTTTTTTGTTATTCTTTAATTGGGTAATTATTTGCATTTAAAAATGTATACATGTTACAAGAGTGTATCATTTCTCAATTAATTATTTAATAAACAATGTTTTTTTTAAAGACCTATCTGTATTTATATAGACAGAATGACAGATAAAAATATAGCTAATACATTCCTTTCCTGGTTATATAGTTTCCATTCTTATATTTTTAACATCTCCATATTATATTATGCCCTACAAACTCCAATTTAATGGAATATAATTGGAAATTTTTATTTAAAAATTCAATTTAACAGGCTTTAATTTGTGAGTTTATTCAGTTTACATTATTGCTTATAACTATGTTGTTATTGTTTTTATATTTCCTTGTCCTGTATAATTTATATTCTATTTACAATGTATTTACCTTAGTTCATTTCTTTTCTATTTTTATTGGATTGATAAAATATTTCTGAGGCGGGGTGCAGCGGCTCATATCTGTAATCCCAGTGCTTTGGGAGGTCAAGACAGGAGGATCACTTGAGCCAAGAGTTTGAGATAAAGTATTCCTCAGTCAATTTTATTTTCTATCAGATAAGTACTTGTTATTCTGCATTTTTTTATGACGGGCCTTTGATGAAATATATTACACATGTGTATGCATGTTTATATACAAAATTAATTAATATTTTTTAGCTTCTTTCTGGACACTTCAAAGACTTTACTTTTGCTTAAACTTCCTGAAAATTTGTTCAACATTTTCAAGTGCTAGCTTTACTTGTCTCTTTTAGCTCTGTTAGTTTCTAAATGTAAAAATATTATTACATAATCTGTCAATTGTTTTGAATAAGTTATTTGGTTTAACTTTTACAGTGATATAAGGCACATTAAAATATTACCTATATTGGCCGGGCGCGGTGGCTCACGCCTGTAATCCCAGCACTTTGGGAGGCCGAGGCGGGCGGATCACGAGGTCAGGAGATCGAGACCATCCCGGCTAAAACGGTGAAACCCCGTCTCTACTAAAAATACAAAAAATTAGCCGGGCGTAGTGGCGGGCGCCTGTAGTCCCAGCTACTTGGGAGGCTGAGGCAGGAGAATGGCGTGAACCCGGGAGGCGGAGCTTGCAGTGAGCCGAGATCCCGCCACTGCACTCCAGCCTGGGCGACAGAGCGAGACTCCGTCTCAAAAAAAAAAAAAAAATATTATCTATATTACATAATCATTATATAATAATTATCTGTCTCAAATTATTTGTTTGCTAATCATTACAACTTGAATCTTCATTCTTTTTTCTAGATACTTTTCTTGATAAGAGCTTTATTTTTTCTGCATGCTTAAATTATGGTTTAGCTTAGTATAGGATTCTTGACTGATAATTTTTAAAAGACACACTTTGAGGATAATATTGTTTTTCTTAATGTTATCTTATGATAAAAAATCTGCTGTAATTCTGATTGGCATACTTTTGGGTATGCTCAGATTTTTCATCTGATAGCTTTTAACTTTTCTTCACAAACTTTGAATTTCTATGGTTTTATAAATGTATAATTAAGGTTTAATTTTTTAATCTAAGAATTTAAATATTTCTCTAATTCTGGAAAATTCTCAGCTATCTTCTCATTAAAGATGGCCTCTTTCCCATTCCTCCATTCTATTATTCCTCTATCCCCTATTTTGCTAATACAAATAGACCTATATTCTAATGTCTTAACCTATCATGTTATCTACCTTCAATTAATGGATGAATTCTTTACTACACTTTGTTTTTTGAGGTTTGTTATGTTATATTTTGGAAATACATTTTTTTGTATTTTTCATTTACTTTGTTCTCTTCAAATCTTTCTTGTTTTAAAATCTTTATACCTTTCTGGATTCCATCTTTTATCTTTTTGAACATTTGGAGTATACTCAATTTAAGTTTCCTTCAAATCATTCCATTATCTTCAGTTCTTTTACCAACGATTCTCCCACTGTGGCTCTGCCAGCAGTCTTTGGCCAATGGACTTTATTGTGGAGATAATTTCATTTCTTAGATCATCCACAGTGAGATAAATATGGATTCCTAAAAGTAGGAGGTATTATGGAGCCTACCCCATGGGGTAGTTTTCTTATGCTGATACAATGTCCTTAAAGATTTTACCAGTTCTGGACAAGTCATCATTAGTACTTGTCCTGCACAGCTAGTGTGATTATAGTCTCAACACTACTTTGCTACTTTAGATAATGTTTACCTTTTTTCTTCCTAGAATATGGTGCAGATAGCTTAAATTATGCAGGAACCCTAGAGGCAAGCAGGTGAAGAATATTTCCCTGACATTCTAAATATCAGTGACTCAGATCGAGGAGTATACATGGGGTCAAGGGACTTTACTTTTGATTCTCAGCCTTTTTTAGACAATTCAAATCCTAGACACAATCTGTTTATACCGAATCCAAATTCTAATACCACCAATCCTATGATTTAAACACCATCAACTTCCTTTCAGCACCAAAAGCTAAGGATTATTATTTAATCAAGTAATTAATTGCACATAGCTGAACTAGGAGGAAGAATCATTCGTCATCTCAATCTGCCAGTTGGACAGAAGTAAGGTTCATAAAAATTTACTTTCTATATTTTATTTTAGCTACATCTTTGGATTCAAATAACTACTTGAAAATCTTTCTATGCACTATAAACATATGAATTACAGTCATATTTTTAAACTTTGTGTATAACATATATTTTCAGAAATTATTTTTGTAAAGTTATTTCTTCCAAAATCCACACAGCCTAAAAATGCGTAAAGAGTTTAACTATGAAGCTGCATACTGAACACTAAATTCATTCATATTTAATTATAACATGTATCTTAGGTTTATTTCTAGAATCAATGAGATAGAGTCTTATCATTGTTGAGAACTAGTTCTTGATTTAATGGGCCCATTTAAGACATGAAGATTCTTAGTCTCTTTGCCTCAGGGTCAGCCAGATGCATCACATATATTTTGAAACAAAAGAAATATTGGCTTTCTCACAGTGGTTATGAGGGAGGAATTATAATAAGTATATGTATCAAGGAACAAGGAAGCAAGCAGAGAAAAATGACTTTCACTATAGCTGGCCATCAATTACATTTTAGTCAATTTGCAACATATGAAAACTATTTTGATAGTTTTTTGATGCTTTAAAGATTATTTTTACTATATATTTTGCTCATTTCTTAAATTATTCTCAGAAAGAGAATTATTACACAATATTTTCTCAAGAGACATTAAAATTATGACTGACAACTTTTACCAGGACAAAAGAAACACACATATTTATATCTGGTGGTTGTGATACCTTGATTTTTTTTTGTTTTCTTTTGTTATTACACAGGATTGACTCTTTGATATATATGTTACTCCCAAAGTACAACTTTGGATATAAAATATTTATAAAATGCAAAAGAAATGGTATCATTTAACAAAAACTTGATATTTATAAAAGCTTAGTACATCAAAGATTGTCAAAGCCAAATAAAATAATGTAATAAAAATAATAGTGGCTCGTTCCTACCAAAATGTTAGTAAAACATGCTTTGTGAATTTGCTACGGATATTTTCATATTAGAGTACGGTTTTAAAATATAAACTGACTAGTTAATTTTGTCTATCCAGTATCATATTGAAAATGGGATGAAATCAAATTAGGAATATAATTTTGTTAATATGTCTCACTTTGAACAGAGCTTTTTGCATTTGCAAATTTTAATTTCATGGTTCATGGCAATGACCTCAAGGCATTGATTCTGAAGTGAAATGCAAATCATTTCTCTTTTGTAACAGTTGTGTAATTAACATGGTTTAAAGATGAAAAGAATCATTAAACATAATTTACAGCATAAGAATATAGGGAAAAAATAATAAATAAATTAACTATACCTAAAACTTTTGAGATTTAGTACTTTCAAAAAAATTGTTGTTTCATACTATGTTAACTTTTACATTTTATTTTTCATTTTATTTTATTTATTTTTATATTTATTTTTGAGATAGGGTGTTGTTCTGTCTCTCAGGCTGGAGTGCAGTGACACAGTCACAGCTCACTGCAGCCTTGACCTCCTGAACTCAATCTTCCTGCCTCAGCCTCCTAAGTAGCTGGGACTATAGGTGTGCAGCACAACACCACGCTAATTTTTGTATTTTTTGTTGAGATGGGGGTTTCGCCATGTTGCCCAGGCTGGTCTAGAATTCCTGGGCTCAGACAGTCCACCCTCCTCAGAGAGATTAAATCTACTAGAAGAAAGCTCTCGGAAGAAGCATTAATTTATGCATACCTAATGTGAATTAAATAATAGTTTAGTGGAATAAATGAACATATGAGAAAACTAATAATATGGAAAATGAGAAATTTGCAGGAGCATATAGATGGAAGAGGAATGAAGAAAAGGGAAAGAAACATTACATGATTTAAAAATTGAAAAATGAAACTAAATAAATGAGAAAAAGGAAATATATAGTAGTAAGAAAATAAAAATGGGCAAAGTGTTAGCCAGGCTTCTGGAGCAGTGATGTATTCATTAAAATCTTAGTTTTGTTTATATTTTAAAACTGTACTCTAATATGAAAATATCCCTAGCAAATTCACAAAGCATATTTTACTAATGTTTTTGTAGAAAGGAGCCACTATTATTTTTATTGCATTATTTTATTTGGCATTGACAATCTTTGATGTACTAAGCTTTTATAAATATCAAATTTTTGTCAAATGATACCATTTCTTTTGTATTTTATAAATATTTTATATCCAAAGTTGTACTTTGGGAGTAACATATATATCAAAGAGTCAATCCTATGTAATAACAAAAGAAAACAAAAAAAAATCAAGATATCACAACCACCAGATATAAATATGTGTGTTTCTTTTGTCCTGGTAAAAGTTGGCAGTCATAATTTTAATGTCTCTTGAGAAAATATTGTGTAATAATTCTCTCTCTGGGAATAATTTAAGAAATGAGCAAAATATGTAATAAAAATAACCTTTAAAGCATCAAAAAACTATCAAAATAGTGAGGAACCTGGGTCAAATTAAATAATTTAAAAATTTAAAAATTTAATTTAAAAAAATTTAAAGATTTAAAAATTAACATTGGGTCAAAGTTAAAAGAATATAGGACCCTGGAGATGTAGGCCCAGAACTTTAAAATGCTTTATATGAGGCATATAAGTTTCTAAAGAATTTTTTAATACAATGTACTACAAATACTCAAAAATAACAAAACAAACAAAGAAAAGACTGACATAGCAAAACCTGGAGAGAATTCAAAAATAGACCAACAATTGACTTCAGTTTTAGCATTTTCAGCTACAAATTAAATGCACACAAACATACACACGTGTGCACACAAACACATACAAATTTTACCATGCTCATACAGAGTTCTAAAAAGCATAAAATTTTAGCACAAAATAAAAATCTATAAAATCTGACATAGTATATTTGAATAAGAGTGAAGTAGAAATTCTTGGGAAAATGTACCTGTACGTTAACCCATAGTAACATAAAAAAAGATACTACTAAAAACTGATAGTAACAGGAAAAAAAATTCACTACTAAATAGTTTTGAAAGCAGATTCTGTATGTATGAGCGGTTTAGACACACCTAGAGAAAGAACCCACCAACTGGAAAATAGATCTAAGAAGGACTCAAAATACAATATTGAGAAACAAGAAGACTCAAATTAGAGAAAAGAGGATAATAAAACCACAAATACAGTAAGCGATTCAAAAATCTACATCACTGAAGTCTCAGAAGAAGCAGATAGAAGGAATAATTCAAAACAATGCTTGAATATAAAATGAGAATGTTCCAGAATCAATAGTGTCAACAGTCCAGAGTCAAGAAGCTCACCAAATCCTTAGCACAACAAGGTAAAATACATTTTTAAAACAATTTAGTAGTATTTTCTCCAACTGAACAATGGCATACCCTAGTGATTTTATTTCTAGGTCTATGCCACAAAAACAAAAATATATGTGCATCAAAAATATGTATAAGAATGTTCATGGCAGCCCTAAACCGGGACTGACTCATATGTCAATTACAGTACAAGACATGCATTGTCTGTATTTTTCAATAAACGGAAAGTAGAAAGTCACACAGCAATGAAAAGGAACATGTTAGAGCTACATGCAATAGCATGAATATATCTCTAATACATAATGTGCAAAAGAGGTTAGTAATAAGGAGATGTATGCTATATGATTTCATTTATACAAATTTTTAAAATATGCAAAACAACTTTGTTGAAGGTCAGAAACAGTTACATTTGGGATATTGTTGGCTGGAAAAGAGGGTGTACAAAGTTTCTAGTATGCTGTTAATGTTCTATATTTTGATCTGAGTAGTGATTACATAGTTGAACTTGTTTGCAAAATTTGATAAGGCTGTATACTAAATATTTATGTGTTACATTGCATGTATGCTGTATTTCATGAAATAAAACTTTGCCATTAAAGTTTTTAAAGCTTTTGAGAAGAAACAAATTATACAATATTTTCACCAAATTGGGTAGGGAAAGTTTTTTACCTATGACATATACAGGAAGTAATTGAGAAATTTATCTAGATCCAAATTAAGGGCTTTTTTCTTCCAGGGAAACCACAAAAGTATGAAGAGACAAGTCACAAAACAGGAGACACACTTTGACATATATGATTGATGAGCAATTCATATCTAGAATATTTACAGAACTTCTATTTATTTTTAAGGAAAAAAAAACCACATTTAAAAAATTATCAAAACTCTTGAATGAGAACCTCAAAACAGAATAAAATTTAAAATAACCACAGCATCATATGAAAAATTGGGAATGTGTTTAATAATCACTTAGAAAATCTGTCAAGTCCATGTGTTATAAAATGCATGGAGCAATGGGACTCTTTATATGCAACTGGTTTGTGTGTACATTTTTACAATCATTTTGAATACTCTGGTATTATCTGCTGAAATTGAAAGTATCCATACCCGATAAACAAACAATTCCAGCCTTGAGTGAATTGCCCATAGGAGCATATCAGGACCCATGCATAGAGATGCTTGTAGCAGGATTATTAATAATTGTCCCAAATTAAAAATAACAATATTTATTTACAATAGGATGGATACACTTCTATATATTTATAAAATGGAAGGCTTTACAGTGAAGAAGTTAATCAAACCAAAGCTAAATTCAACACCATGGATTCATTTTTTAAAAAAATATTGAGCCAAAGAAGCACACTAAAAAAATGTATTTAGTATGATGTTTTTTGATTAAAAATACATAAAGAGGAAAAACTCTGCTCTATTATGATGCACATATGGGAGGTAAAACTATAAAGGAAATTACAAAAGTGAATACAATAAGAGTCAAGACAATGTTAACCTCAAGGGGTTAGGAAGGAAATGTGATTATGAAGGGATATAGGGTTGATGGGAATGTTTTCTAACTTAACCTGGATGTTGGTTGCATAAATGGTCAATGCATGATTTTCCATTTTAATGTACATTTATGTAATGTTGACATCTCTGACATATTTCATAATAAATATTTTTAAAGGTACCAGCAACTCATATACCTGATAAACTGAATGCAAATACTATGAATGAGCATTAGCATTGCTTAGCTAATAAACAAAAGTTCAAGGAGCAAAAAAGCTCAATTTTGTGCCATTGTAACAACTGCAAATAAGGAGTATGTAATGAATCAGATTTTATTGTTAAACCAGAAACATTCTTATGCTAAAATCAGCTTAACATAAACAAAAGTTGATTCAGTTTGTTCAAGACTTCAGAGGGAAAGCATAAAGTGACAAAATTGTTTTCACTATAAATAGGTTAAGTAAAGATTGTGGGGTTTTGTTGTTGCTGTTGTTTTTGTTGTTGTTTTGAGATGGAGTTTCGCTCTTGTTGCCCAGGATGGAGTGATGGAGTGCAGGGGCGTGACCTCAGCTCACTGCAACCTTCACCTCCCAGGTTCAAGTGATTCTCCTGCCTCTGCCTCCCGAATAGCTGGGATTACAGGTATGCACTACTACACTGGGCTAAGTTTTGTATTTTCAGTAGAGATGGGGTTTCACCACTTGGCCAGGCTGGTCTCGAACTTCTGACCTCAAGCAATCCTCCCGCCTTAGGCTCCCAAAGTGGTGGGATTACAGGCCTGAACCACAGGGCCCAGCCTTGGCTTGTGGTTCTTTTACTAAATATGGAATAGCGATAAAGCTTATGTATCATATTTGTAAAAGAAAGCTAGGCACATGAAGCAGAATTAATTCATGAGGGAAAATATTTATTTTACTCTCAAGTCTCCCGAAAGTTATTGTATTCATTTAAACTCAATTTCTAATTTTTTTAGTTACCCAAATACTATTGCATTAAATGCATTAAAGAGAGCATTGTACCTAGCAGATATGTGAGAAACAGTTTGACTTTTTAACCACTAAAAAATGTCCAAATATCAGAATTTATTTTATTTTAAATTTCAAAAAAATCCTTATTTTATATGATAAAAATCAAGTTGATTTGTAAGTCATATATATCAGCTTATTATCAAGAACTATTGCTATGTAAAAGAACTTAGGACTGTGTAATTAGAACTATGTAATAGAAATATTTACAGAAGACTATATCTGCCAACATGAGATACTCTACCACCATAACTTATATCAATGACTCTTGTTCTATCATCGTGTGCATTATAAATAGTGCAAAATTTCAAGAAATTTCCATTTTGAGATATAAGAAATCAATATGCTGGGAAAACTAATATCAAACTCTGAAGTAGATATATTTCATTTTATATATATTTTAAATGACCTTTAACTAAAGGTTAAATTGGATTGACACACTGAAGATAAATTTTTTTATTATTATCATCATTAAATTATTATTTTGTGACTATTACTATTCAACTAACACTACATCTGATAATATAATGATAAACACATTCCTTTTTTATATTAACTAGCATTTTTTTCGAGTTTCTTAAAGCTTTGTTTGCAACTCTGGATGATTTATGTGGGACATGATAAAACCAATCTCCACACAGGCTAATTTGAGACCTGGCATCATTGTCTCTCTCTGAACAATCTGGAAGCTTTTTTATGGTAGTGAATTGCTCATTTGGGGTGCGAGGATTGAAGCAGGCAAGTGTCTGGGTCATTATGTGCTCAGCCATGTCTTACATAGGTGTTTGGATTTGTATAGCACTGGTTAATCTGTAATGTGTTTTAATTTAGAGACATAAATTCTGGCCAGAATTCTATGCTTTAATTAAATAGTGTCAAGGGATTGATCGCAGCATATTGATCCATAACTGAACATTTTATCCATGAAGTCACAGGTCCAGTGAGGTAAGTTACATTTTTAATTCCATTCTGATTATAGTCTATTATCAGGACAATGTATAATTTGCATGTTTTTCATTTGAGAGTAATGATACATAGCCATTGATAAGCCATGTTCCTCTTCCTTTCACCCCATTAAGCTACAAGTTTGGATAAACAAGTGTACTTAATTTCAATTTCATATATTGTTTGATGGCACCCCTGAGAATAAAGAGGCAGGTTTCATAAGACAATGGGCTAACTTAAAATCAGTTTTTGGATACTGTTTCATACAAACTGAATACACTTAACTAGAAAATGATATCTCTACTTTTTCCTTTCAAAGATAATGACACTCCTTTTTTCCCCCTCAGTCATCATTGCCTAGAATACCCTACTTCAAACAATGAAACTCACTTTCAATCTATCATCATCTTTCACTCTTCAGTGAAACCCCATGTAGCTTCCAGATGTGGTTTCAGGATTTCTCTATATTGTTGGAGAGGTAAGCATTGACATTGAGCCTTTTCACTTTTTACTTTCTGTGTACATTTCAATGGAGCCTGTGCCAATGTTACATCTTTTGTTCCTATTTAAGCAGTAGTCATATGCTTTTGTACCTTTTGTGGTGTGAGAAAAATGTTAGGAAACATTTAGGACTAACATAAAAAAAGTATTAGAGAATCCTGACTCAAAGCCTGTGACACATTGATAAGTAGTATTTTCAAATTTAAGACATGGAGTTATGCTGACATCAGCCAAGGGACTCAAAGAATTGCCAGCAGCCACCAGAAGCTAGGAGAGAACTTGGAACAGATTTTCCCTCTGAGCTCCCAAGAAAGAACCAACACTGTAAACGTTTTAATTTGGGGCTCTGAAATCCTGAACTGTGAGAGAATGAATTTTTCTTGTTGTAAGCCACCCACATTGTGGTACATTGTTATGGCAGCCCGAGGAAACTAATATAAACCCCAAACAAAACAAACTAAACAAGAAAAACCTGGCTCTAATTACATATTGAGAGACAGTCTCAATGTAGATCCATTTGAACGGATTTTCAAAGGTAATCTATTTGGGTAATACTATTTACATGAAATTATGTTTGACGTTAGCATCTAACTCATGTTGATTAGTAGAGCCTGTTCTTTACTTTTGAAAGACTAATCTCATGGTTGTAATATTGATAGTTGAATTTATATAATAACTGTGTAACATTTTATACACTTTTATATGTAGGCAATAGAGAGTAGCGGTTAAATGCTGGGGTTTCTGAGTTAAGAAAGACCCAACTATTCAGACCCAGCTCCTATATAACTGCCACCTGTGGCCACAGGTAAATTATCATGTTAGCCTAAACCTCGGTTTCTCTCAAGGAAGCCAATATTAGATACTAAGCTGTTATGCTGTTCTAACGTTTAAATGAGATAATTTTCACTGGAACGTAAGTTACAGATGGACAAGGTCTATTATTTTTTTCACCACTGGAATCACATAGAAGGGGTTCTCTAAACACTCATTTAGTGGATATGAATGAATAAATAATGTCTAGAAGAGAAAATACCTGGCATATTGTAAATGCTCAAAAAATATTAGATATTAATGTTCTTCAGAAAAAAATAGATCAGATTTGTTTATTTTGGACTTTTCTAAAGAGTCAAGATGAACTATGGATTTTTTTTTCCTTTTTGAAACATGCTTTCTCTCATTTTTTTACAATTTGCTTATTGTATACACCATTGTTCAATTTCATACAACTCTCCATACAAAATAAGGAGGTTTATATATTGTTTGATAGATTTGGTGCTGCATGAATAAATCAGTGGCTAGAAAATATTGCATACTTTTGAAATGCATTAGAACTTTTATATAAGTAAGGTGTCGTTTATCACATCAATTTAGTAAATTATGGAAGTATGGCTTAGTGACCAATAACATATTAATTTTCAAGAATAGTTCATCTCATCTGGTCTGTTTAGGGACAAGAGATAGCACCTCAGCCATTGTACAGAACTATGTCATTGTCCATCCAGGGCTCACAGAGAAAGTATGAATGACTCAGACTGAATCATATCCTCTGTTCAAAAGGCAGTTTAAAACAAACATTATACATTTTATGAATCAATCACTTAGTGTTGTATTCAAATGTGAATTGTAACCAAAATGTGTCTATATAAAAAGGTTTTAATTAGAGAAAAATGCCCTGAATATAAGAGTTCCAAAAGTTGTTTGATGGAAATTTAGACCCTTAAATTCATCATCATTGTCATTTTTTTCCATTTCTTTCATATACATACACCTAGAGCAATAGATAACATACATTATTAATACATTCAATTTAACAAATAGAGTCAACTTTTCATATACGTAGATTCCACCAAGTGTGAATCAAAACTATTTTTTAAAATTGTGTCCATATTAAACATGTAGAGACATTTTTCCATGTTATCATTCCCTGAATGATACAGCATAAAAACGATTTACATATTATTTACATTATATTAGGCATTTTGAGTAATTTAGAGATGACAAAGTGTACAGGAGGATGTATATAGTCAGCTATAAATACTACACTATTTTATATCAGAAACTGGAGCATCTGCAGATTTTGGTCCTAGAACCAATCCCGAAGCATGACTATATTTATGTGACATGAGGATAGAAACCAGGAAGATGATTATAAAAAGATTTGTTTCTTACAACTACTTTAGATTTTTTAAATTGAGATAAACTATATGTACATAAATGACCACCTTTAATAATAAATACATTTATATTTTCCCCCATTGATCCTCACCTCCTTGGCATCTCCTGGTAACCACCAATCAACTCTCTATCTTTATTAGCTCCACTTTTTAAACTTCCATATATGAGTAAGAACATTTGATATTTGTGTTTTTGTTCTTGGCTTATTTTATTTAACATAATGACTCTCAGCTAATTGCATTTTGCTGCAAATGACAGGATTTCATTCTTTTTTATGACTGAATACTATTCCATTATGTAAACCTACCACATTTTCCTTCTCCACTCATCTGTTGATAGTCACTTATGTCAATTCCTTATTTTGGCTATTGTGAATAGTGCTGCAATAAACATGAGAGTGCAGATATCTCTTGGATATATTGTCTTTTATTTCTTTTGGATACACTGCAGGTTTTTAACCATTAAAAGTGACATGGCCAAATTTTTTAAAATCCTGATAATATCAAATATTGACAACATACACACCAGGCTTTATAAAACCAGAGGCAAAAAGAGCAATTAGGAAGTTATTGGGACAAGACAAGAAAGAGCTAAGTAGCACTACAGCTAAAAGAGTGGCTGCAAGTAGAAATGAAAAATCAAAAAAACATATTTAGGAAGAAAAAAGCAACATGATGGAATGATTGATAAAATACCAGAACAGAAAGAGAGTAGGGTACAGGAATATGTAGAGGTAGGAGTAAGAGAAAGGTAGTGGAAAGACTGTAGCCTTAATCTCAGGTTTTTAGTGAGATGGATAAGATATTAGCCAGGTGGAAGGACAATTATATATGTGTTTTTGAAATTTAAAGAAACAGTCTAGGCCAGATGGAGTGATGTGAGAGTGTGTAGTCTTGACCTTGTGTGAGAATTCAGCCAGACAAAATGCATTGAGTGATAGAGGAAGAATTTAATAATGAAATAATGTAGAATACCAAGTGAGAATCTTTTTTGAAGAGATAAAATATACTGGTACACTTTCAAGGAATCAGTACATTTAGCTAACATCTTCTGAGAAATGATAATACAGAGCTTTTGTTTTCTACTCTAATTTCTTCAAAATATATCGCTGGAGACTACATTCTGTAGTTCCTAAAGGAGAGCTCGAGCAGACCTGTAACTCTGCTGCTCTATTTCCTATATAACAAATATTTTCCTGTAATAAGAGTTAATTGTAAACAGTTCCCATAAGAGTATAAGAATGTTCAGGGAAAGATATTAAATTATTAAACAGAATTGGAGTTAAACTTAATTTAACCCAACCCGTGTCTCCTTATCCAGCTGGGCTTGTGGCAAGCTGAAAGGCAGAATGGGAAAAGCAGGGAAGTGGTGTGTTTCTCTTCTACCTTTGTCTGGAACTTGTCTTTGTCTTTAATTTTCAGCAGTTTAACTCTGAAAGGTCTATGTGTAGGTTCTTTGTATATGTTCTTATGGGTTTACGGGTCTTTTCTCATAAGTAGGTTAATATTCTCATAAGTTTTTAGAAATTCCGAAGTATTATCAGTTCAGAGATTGTATCTTCCTGACTCCCTCTGTCCTATTTTTCAGAGATTTTAATTGGAAATATTCAAAGCTTTCATTACTCATTTTTCTTTTAGGAACTTTTTCTAATAACATTTATAATTTTTATCATTTTATAATTTTTGTTTATGCTTTAGGTTGCCTATTTTCTACTGAATTGTTTTCCTGTTCACTGATCCTGTCTTCTACTGTGCCTCATCTTTCTTCAACTGATACTTTGAAATGTTAACATCATTTTACTCTATTCGTTATAAGTTTAATCTTCTTATTTTCTGTAAATTCGATGAAAACTCTGCTCTACTTCTTAGAGGACTTAAACTTGGCCCTTTAGTCTCCTTCCCTAAGAATATTCAGATTTCAGCAACTGTGTTAAGGGAGCATGTGTTTGGGGCTTCTCCTATTTCCAATTTTGTCTCTCAGTGGCCCTTTTCAGGGAAAAGTTCATATCATAGTCTTATGTTCACATGTGAAAAATTCAAATTCGCTTAGGGAAAATTCAATATCAGATTAAGACATCACTTTTCTGTGGGTTTTCACCCTTTGTAATATTTATCTTGTTAGTCCAAGGCATTTTAATAGTTTTCTGAAACCTTGAAATATGTACTTATTTTTTTCTTATTTAATATAACTTCTCTAGTTTTTTTTTTCAAGGAAATTTTGGTCTTCCATAAGTCATTCTATCTCACCCATCAGTGAAATTCGCAACAGGTTCTTTCGTGGAAATATTATATTCATTATGGGCCCCTCCTACTGGAGTTCTCTTGTCTCCAAAAAATGCCTCTCCATTTTTGAAGACTACTTGCAAAATCAAGTCACTTCTCACTCAGGAGTCACTCTAGTTGTAGATGCTGAGTCTCTCCCATCTTCCTGGCATTCTCATGTATTGAAATTTGAGATGATACTATAATAGGTTTGTTTACCTTGTAGCTTTTGTTTGTTTCACAGGAAGTACTTAGACATTGCTGGCACCAGCAATGAAGGAGATTAGGAAAGACTTGCCATAGTTGTGGTTAGAAATAGGAGAAGATGCTAAATTGGAATACATAAGAGGATAGCCAAATGGTAATTAAGAGTCCATCTGAAGTTGTAGACCATAATTTGGTCTCAGTTTTAATGGAAGTATATTCCTCAAATAATCACTGTAAACATAAAAATGACAAAACTATTTTACTAAAACTAATCTTGGCATTAATTATTAAAAACCAGCTTGGAGAGTATATCATAGCCATTATGACTGAGTAACCATCACATATTCCCTGTGAAATAGGTATTCTAAGTCAATCAGTCTAAGTCATGATGATGTTTTCAACTTTGTCAGTGCTTAGTTTGGAGATGGACAAGTTTGACAAATTTGGACCATGAAATGCAACTAAATATTTGCTTTGGACTTTTTATAAAGTTAATCCAGTCTTTTCCATTTGATGTGAACAAGGATGCTGGGTATCACAATTTCTGCTAACAGACATCTCATGTTTATGAGGAGAACTGACCTTATGATGACTGTAATCTTCAGTGGCAGAGAAAGGGCACAGAAATAAACTTAGCCCTTCATAACATCTTTTAGAAGCCAAATCAAACATTCCAGGAGACTGGCCTAAATCTGGACTACCTACTGTGTGGGTTCATACATTTTATTTTTAAATGCTATTTAAGATGTAGTTTCCATTTTTCATATGTAAAATAATTAAATGAGATGCAGAATAGGTACCTGGAAATATTCTTTAGATATATTTTAAAACATAAAGGACAAAAGTTTAAAAATTTTGGAAGAAAGAGGTTTAATTATTAAAGATTGGATCAAAATTATGTTTATATATGTTAATTATATTTACATGTAATCATTATTATTTAATCACTTTATCTGTAAATTTTGAGCTCCTCCCAAACTGAAAATTCCAAAGGAGCTACGAGAATTATTAGATCTGTGGACTTCAAAGCATCTGAGTATAAAATGAAAGACTCAATTGTACAAGTTCACATTTGACTAAAGGTAAAGCTTATGATATATATAAATCATGAAAATGGTGGAATCGAACCAATCCTACAAATTAAAGCATTTTAAACATTCAGAAAATATATCTCATAATGTGGTAAAAGGCATGCACTTGCTTCTTTCCTAGTTTTAGCATTGCTATCTAGCAGAAATTCACCAAATAAAGCATTTAGTCTGACTATATTGCTTTGAATCATTGCAATGACTCTGGATTTTATAAATGAATTACAAATTATAGGAGAGGTTTTACATTCTAACTGTGTTTTACTTTTTTTCTCTCTCTTGACTTATAAGAAATCTTCCTAGCATACCTCATTACATTATTCACAGAGTACATTAATCTCACCACTTTTAAAAATAAACACCTGCCAGACTTCTCACACTGATTGTAGCTGAAGAAACTTTTCTGAAATTGTCCTTTTAAACATCTGTTATTCCTGGGGATAATTAGAAGAAAGGAAAATTGAACATGAAACTAAATTCAGTTTTTGTATTTTAATACAACAATGAGTACTCTAACATAAGTGTCCTTTAGGTCATTCTTAAATATATGCTAAAAATTATACTGGAGTATGTTATTTAGAAGCCAAATTCTTCATTCTTCCTAAATATGTGCATGGGCTAGAAACACATTAATTAATTTCAGAACCCATTATAATGTTATTTGCTTAGTGAATGGAAAGGTGGAATCTCACATAAACACAGTTTTACCAATCAAAAAAATAGCATTAATACAATTTCTTCCAAAATCATATGATGCTCTTACATTCTGGGAAATCATTCAGGCTTGACAGCAAGAAAACACTTTTAAATTGGAAAAGACTTTAGTTATCAAAGTTTTCTCTCAGTTTTTATTTTTTTTTTAACTTCTTTGGTCAGTAATGTTCCACTCAAGTACACTCTTCATAGCTTTTGAACACCATTCCCCATGTACTTATTTCCCACTTGAGTGCTATCTAGAAGAAAATGTTAATCTACCTTCACCTATAAAAAATAATTATTTCTTCCTGATTGATATAAATTATTAGACTGAGCTACATGAAATTGCCAGCCTTCAACCATTTTGATCTACAAATCCAGCTTGATGGTACAAGCTAATATTATCAAAAAATTGAGAATTTCTTCATATCAGAAAAAGGTACTCTAACACAATCAATAATAAAAATTAGTTTTGATTTGTAATATTTCTGAGATTGTAATTTCCTTGGATTTCAATTTATCTGCTATATAGTATGAATAACATTATTTTTGCCTAATATTACTTCCCCTATTGCTAATTTCAGGGATAATTTTATTCTGCTTTCTTAGAAAAATAGAATTACAGGAATAAAGGGTCTAAATATAGGGATTTCAGTTTACATGTATCTGGCAGAAACTGGGGGAGCAAAAATAGGTAAACTAGAGCTAAAGGACTGGAAAGAGTCTCTAATGCTGTCAGCTGAAGCATAGGCTGAGGCAGGTAGGAAGGAAACCACCAACCCCAGGGACTTTTGACAAGCCTTCTTCTCTTTTTCCCAGAACTGAAAGTCATAGAGGACACCAAGCATCACGCCTGACCAGCAATGGAACAGCCCTACCTTAATGTTTATCACTTCGCTTCCACTTTCCTAATTTCACTCAAGTTTCTATTACTGAGAAACTCAAACTTGTACTAAAACAAAGAAGAGGATTCCAAGGAAAGTATGTCCTTTAAGTGATCATTCAAAGACTTTTGTCTCCAAGAAAATATCATTTTTTCCAGAGAACCTAATGATATAAGCTTAACTCTGAGATACATCACACCCATGATTACGCAAACACACATACACAGATGCACAAACTCAACTCAAAGATCTTGCCAATAAAACTAAGTGAAAAAGCTTTTCCTGTATCTTTAGAACATATTGACACTTTGTGGCCCACAGGCATAATTAGTAAGGTAATTGGTAGGAGTTAGAGTGCAAATCAGCCCTAATAACAACATTCCTTTCATACTCTGAAAGAAAGATGATCTGCTTAATCAGATCCTATGTGAATAATGAATCTCACATCTGCCTGGTCACTTCTGAGGCCCTCTGCTCCTATTAGAGGATTAGTCAAGTACTCATGTGTTAAAGCTGCTACCCACTAGACCTCCAAGTCACCTAATAATCATTAATATAAGTAAATACTAATGGCTATGAAACTAGAGGAAAAACATTTTACCCCATGTGAAATCTCTTTCCAAAGAGACAACAAGCTCTTATTTTCGAAATATTTAGGCAAAATTATTGTACCAATCAGTTTTACCATTTGGATAAAACTACTTTCAATTTGGAATTTTCTGATGTTTTCTTCATGATTAGATTGGGATAATATATATTCGAATACAATATTAAAAAATAAGGTTTAAGACTGTCACTCAATTGGGTTATAATTATTATTTATTTTTGCTATTTAGTTGTAGGAGTTCCTTATATATTTTGGATATTACCTCTTTATCAGATATATCTTTTGCAAATATTTCATCTCATCCTGTAGGTTGTCTTTCCATTCTGTTGTTTGCTTTGCTGTGCAGAAGCTTTTTAGTTTGAGATAGTTCCCTTGTCTATTTTTGCTTTCATTGCTTGTGCCTTTGGTGTTTTATCCAATAAATCATTTCCAAGGACAATGTCAAGATTTTTCAATGTTTTCTTCTGGAAGTTTGATTGTTTCTAGTCTTAGCTTTAAGTCTTTAATCCATTTAGAGTTGATTTTTGTGTAGGATGTAAGATAAGGGTTCAATTTCTTTATTTTGCATGTGGATATCTAGTTTTCCCAACATCATTTGATGAACAAACCATCATTTCCCCATTGTCATTCTTGGCACACTTATCTAAGTTAACCGTATAGAAGTGGTTTAATTTCTGGGCTCTCTATTGTGTTCCAGTGATCTATATGTCTGTTTAATGCCAGTAATATACTGTCACAATTACTGTAGCTTTGTGACAAGTAACCACATTAAAAATGGGCAAAGGAACTGAATAGACATTCCTCCAAAGAAGAAATATAAATTACCAAATGGGATTCTTAGTCAGCATCACTAATAGTGCACAAGATCACTAATATCAACAAAATGTAAATCAAAACCACAATGAAATATCACCTCATACATATTAAGCTGGCTATTATAAAAAAGCACAAATGTTGATGAGGATGTGAAGAAAGGGTATCTTTATATACTGTTGGTGAAAATATAAATTGGTGAAGTCATTATGAAAAACAGTATAGAGTTTCATGAAAAAATTAATAATAGAACTACCATATGATATAACAGTTTCACTTCTGGGTATTTATCCAAAGGAACTGACTTCATTATTTTGAAGAGATATTTGCACTCCCATGTTTATTGCAGTATTATTCACAACCTAAATATCCATCAACAGATGAGTGGATAAATAAAATATGGCATATACATAGTATATGTATATGGAATAGTATTTAGCCTTGAAAAAGAAGAAAATTCTACCATTTGTGACAACATGGATGAATCTTGGAAACATTAGGCTAAGTGAAACAAGTCAGACACAGAAAAACAAATACTACATGCTACCATTATATAACAAATCTAAAAATAGTTAAACTTACAGAAACAGAGAGTTAAATAGCAGTTGCCAGGAACTGGAGGAAAGGAGAAACAGAAGTTTTTGTCAAAAGATATGGAGTTTCAGTTACGTAAGGTGAAGAAATCCTAGAGAATTACTGTACAATGTACTCCTATTGGTAACAATACTGTATTGTATATTTAAAAATTTACTAAGAAGGCAGATCTTATGCCAAATGTTCTTATCACACACACAAAAAAACTAATAAACAAGAAAGCAGGAGGAAACCTTTCGAGGTGATGGATAGGTTTATGGCATAGATTGTGGTGATGGTTTCATGGATATATACAAACTCATCAAGCAGTATACATTAAACATGTATGGTTTATTGTATGGTAATCATAGCTAAATAAAGTGGTTTAAAATTTGTCAATAAAAATGACTTTAATCTAGGAAACAAAAGTAAATAAAGAACTAGTAGATTCAATAATATCAAATATAGAGTCTAAATAGCAGATTATCAAATAATTTTATAATCTCAATCCATAATAATGAAGGCATTTTACATTGTGCCTCAGTAAATACATATATTACTGAAAAAAAATCAGGTAATTTTTTTTTTAAATATTGCTTGTAATCTGTGAAACTTATTTTTCAATTCTGCTATGACTCGCAATTTTAATAAACTAGTCTAATTTAGTCCATATCGCAGATGAAATCAAATAGTCCTTTCTCCCCTCTACAGCTTTGGAGAGCATTTGATTGAATAACCTCAAAGATAGAGAGGGAAACTGAGACATAATATTTGGACAGAAGATATAATCTTTATCATAATAATGTCTTGTAACAATTTATTTACATGGGCTGGAAACACTAAAGGCTAAGTATGAAAAAAATAAATACATATTTTTGTAATTTTCATAATGGCCATTACAGTTAAATTAGATGAATCAAGAATAAAGAAGTTAATTGCATGGATAAAGGTTGTAAAGTAAGTTAGTAGTAAAGAGGGGAATAAAAACCAAGCATCTGTCCCCCTCAGTCAGTTTTACATACGTCCTACAAATAGTAGATTTAGCAGTAAATTGCATTCTCTCTAACGCTTCTTATTACCTAGGGTTGCTTTTCACTATAAAAGAGAAAATGAATGTAGAAAATTCAAAGCTATGTACAAATGATTTTGGTTCTCAATTTCACTTCTCCATTGAATATAAAATTTTCAAGTACCATGTAAAAATGTCCTCTGTTTCAAGTGACTAGCATTATAGCAGTCCCCATGGCACATTCACACACTTGAACTGAAAGGTAATGTTACAGAGATCATTTCCAAATGGAGATAAAAATAAGAGAAGAATCCTTCATCTTAAGTCCCATTTGGAAATATGGCTCAAAAGCATGTTTGCTTATTACTTCTGTTTGCTTAAAGAGGTGGACACATGTCTAGGGAGCAGTTTCAGAAAGGGCAAATCTGTCAGGGATCTATCAAGTGACTAGAGTATGGTCTAGGCATGTGAGGAATTCTAATATAGGTATTTGGAGAATCTTATGAATTCAGTTCTTGTTTAGGAGCCTAAAGAGTAATTCATTAGCAACATTTTTTATTGCCATAAGAAAGATGCGGGGCCAGTTCCCAGCGTCAGTTGCTACCTCTTCAGGCTATTTGGCAAACATTGTGTAGTAGATGTTGCCTGAAAACAAAGTTAGAGGCCAAAAAATATGACATGTGGCTCACCAACAATTCTCCTAGCCAAGAAATAAGCAGCATGTTAATGGGCCCTCAGATATTAGCTATCCATGATGTGTTGCACTGTTATGGTGCATGTGTATGCATGAAGAAGAAGGGATAAAGTAAATGCAGGAAATAGATGGGCACAAATGCCCTTCGAACTTGACCAGCTCTATATAAACATTAGGGTGATTTACCTTATCTAAATGCATATGAAAAATGATTATAGCCATTTTAAGTCACTAAATTATTGACTCTATTCAAAGGAATAAAGTCCTAATATAAAACAAATTGTTTTGTTTACTTTTGCTTACCTAATTTTAATAGGATTTTTGTTTTGCTTATTACAGTTTCTTATTTTAAACCTACAATGACAGTAACTTCACTTGTGACTCACTGCTCCTTCTAATGGTGATAACTTTTTAATTACTCAACATATCTCTTGGTGGCACTTTTTCACATTAAAACAAGTTTGATAGAAGAAAGTCAGAACTGGAGTATTTAAATGAATTTGAATTATAGCTATTAACACTATAAAAGTCCAGGGAGAAAACAGCACAAAAGGATAAAGGAAATTTTTGATAAGGGATGATAAGCATTCTGACCCATGGTTAACATTGTGCTGAAGTAAGTGGTTTATAAACTTGATTCAATTAACTGATAAAGGGACACACAAAGTTTAGTGCAAAACTTTTCAGTAAATATGTATTTATGCAATGGTTTACTAATTAAAGGATCCATAGTTTTCATAATATTTAAAAGCAATCTCAAGTGGATTTGTGATCAAAAGTACTAAAAAATCCCTACTCCCTCCAAAGAGTAGGGAGTAAAGCCTCATAACGATCTTGCCAAACCTTAAAAAAAAACTAGATAATATATACTTTATACAAAATGTTTAAGATAATTAAAAAGGAAAGAAATATATTCAACTTATTTTGGGTGCCAGTTTACACTTGATATTATAACTGGACAACATAAAGATAAAATGATAATTATAGACCACTTCTTTGGATTCAACATGTAAAATGAAAATGAAAATTTTCTGCATAGAACTCAACAGCACGTAAGTCAATCTAACACTAATGACTGTTAATAGGTAAAAGGTGAAATCTCAGAGACTTAACACAATAGAGACTTTTTTTTCTTACTCAGATAAAGGTAGTGATAGGGAGGGAAGGCTGAGTGTTATGCATCAAGCAGTCATCAAAGGACCCAGTTAGCTTCTTCCAAGGTCATAGGGGTTGTGACTTCCAGCCAACAAATGGGAGAAAAAATATAATTCAGTAGGGAGAAAGGAAAGACCGTTTAGTGGATGGTGCTACAATAATTGTTTATTAATATCAAAAAATAAAATGAAATCAAATACCTACATATTACCTATAGCACATTTAGTTACTATGAGAATATTGATATTTGAATTAGAATCCAGCTTCTTAAGGCCTGGATAAGGAAATTAAATCAAAGAATCACTTCCACTGTATTTTACTGGTCAAGCTGTCACAGAACCCAGAATGTCTAAAATAAAAATATATGATGAAAATAAATCATTTTGACAATTATAAAATGTTTATAATACATTTTATGTAGTAATGCATTTGCTTTCTAAAAGCAATTAATCAACAGATCTAGTGCCAGCTGCAATAACTTTCATAACTTCAAAGTAGTGATTAGTGTAAATATTTTGAGATTTCTGAATCAACTGTTTTGTGACATAAAATTATCTACTGTTTCTATTAGTAACAAAGTAGTAACAGGTGCTCTTAATTGTACTCTTTTTTTGCCTATATACTTAGTTAAAAGAATTACTAAATTTCATTAAAAGTTTATAGAAAATATTTTTTCCTATGCAGGTACTTTGTAGTTATGTATTCATGGATATTAAGTTATAAGCCCCTGCTGAATCCTGGTTTTTATTTGCCACCTATTGCTTTCATGTCGTTGAAAGGTTCATTGTTTATCGTTTTGTTTTTTTCTTTCTTTTCCTTCTTTGACCACTGCAATTACATCCTTCAACAGATTATCTTTTTGCTGTATAGTTGCAATCTAAGTTTGAGTCTAAGCTATGTTTACTGTCTTGGAAACTAGTAATAATTGCTCATTGGGGATATCATTTTATCAAGGAACTTTCAGAGAGATAGAGAAAATAATCTTCAGGCAGAGAAGATAGCCAACCCAATTCTGCTAAATAACAACTCAGCTACATAACAAATACTTAATAATGGTTACGATTAAGTGACTTTTGAGGATAAGTTATTTGCAACTAGATTTTATTTTTTCCCTGTTCTAGAATGCACCATGGCCTTTATTCTGTGTCCTAGGAAATGAGAAGGTTGTAGCTATAAATCTATTTTTTAAAAAATTTCTATAAGATATTGGGTGTAAAACATTGCTAATTTGGTGTCTCTCTAACAGTGAACAAAATAGGACAAACAAGCATTCTGAAAACATAAACAGAACATACCTTTGTCTCAAAGCATTTAGGGCTCAAGAGAAATCATTGCTGCTTTAGCGCCTGGAGAAGAGCTACAGCTCAGGTGTTCAATAGAAGAGATGCACACAGGCATCTATGTTGTCAGCAAGCTAGCACTATCAAAGCATCTGGAGACAACAATAGGAGTCAAGGATACCATCTCTAGCACAGATCCCCGGTAAGCAGGCCTTTTTAGGAAGTCCTAGTTGCAGTGCAAGTTTTCGAGGAACCTCATCAGAGAGCTGCAGCAGAGATCTTCAACATGACCAGATCACCCCATCTCACTTAGCTCTCCCACTAACAACTTTATCTATTATTTGCCTTGTTCTCCCCATTATATTTTTCATTGTCAGAAGTCACCATGTCTTTTTATTTTAATTTTCTATTGTTTATCTCTCTTGGCTATAATGTAACTTTTGGTCAAGAAGAAATCTTATTTGTCTGTTCGTTGCTTTAACTGTGGTCCTCAAAAAGCCCAATTAATATTTATCAAAATAATGAAAGGATGAATGAGCATTATCTATTCTTTCTTCACTCTTGCATGGGAATAGCTGTCCCTGGGTTCACCAATAGTCTTCATGTTACTAAATCCAAAGGATCGTATCAACAGCATTTGACAAAATTGAACTCTCCTTTTTTTCTTAAAACAATCTGCATTATCAACTTCCGTGCACTCCAGTCTTCTAATTCTCATTTTCTCCTTTCCTTCTCAGTCTCCTCTACTGCTTCTGCCTCAAACTGACTTCTATCCGGGTCTTTTAGAACTCTTTCCTGAGTTCACAACTGTTCACGTTCTAAATGCACCGTAGACAACATATTCTTATTCATACAAAGACTATTTGTTTGTCTCCTAAATACGTATTTCTATGTGTCTGTATACTAGACCACACTTCTCTGTCTCATGGATATATACAACTATATCTTTGATATATGCACTTTTTTTCAAAAGTGTATAATATATGCTTGGTCAGGTGCAGTGACTCATGCCTGTAATCCCAACAGTTTGGGAGGTCGTGGTGGGTGGATCACTAGAGGTCAGGAGTTAGAGACCAGCCAGCCAACATGGTGAAACCCCATCTCTACTAAAAATACAAAAATTAACCGGGCATAGTGGTGCATGCCTGTAATCCCAGCTAGTCAGGAGGCTGAGGCAGGAGAATTGCTTGAACCTGGGAGGGCCGGAGGTTGTGGTGCACTAAGATGGCACCACTGCACTCCAGCCTTGGCGACAGAGCCAGACTGTGTCTCGGAGGGGGGAAAAAGAGGGTATAATGTGTGCTAAACTAAACTCTTAATTTTTGAGACCCCAGATTTGTGAATGCTAGTGTTTTATCATTGCAAGAAATAGTTCCACCATCCAATTCATCATACAAAATTTACACATTGTGCAACAGATAATTTGTGACACCTTCTCCTTTCTCATACCCATCAAACCACTAAAAGAACCTGTCTTGTCATTTCTGAGTCTAAACATTTATTCATTTTTTTGTGTTTTTTTGTTTGTTTAATTAATTAATTAATTAATTAATTAATTTTTTGAGACAGAGTCTCGCTCTGTCGCCCAGGCTGGAGTGCAATGGCATGATCTTGGCTCACTGCAACGTTGGCCTCTCAGGTTGAAGCAATTCTCCTGCCTCAGCCTCCCGAGTACCTGGGACTACAGGCATGTGCCGCCATGCCCGGCTAATTTTTTGTATTTTTGGTAGAGATGGGATTTCACCATGTTAGGCAGGCTGGTCTCAAACTCCTGACCTCAGATGATCTGCGTGCCTCTCCCTCCCAAAATTCTGGGATTATAGTTATGAGCCACTATGCCCGGCCCATTTATTCATTTCTTACAATGTCCACAGACATTAGCATGGTTCAAGATTGGACTGTTATAATTTCTTTTTTTCTTCTATTTTATGTCCCACTATTGTCTTCTTCTAATCTATTATCCGTTTGCAGTCTGTAAAATTTTCATGTACTCTTTCAAATCCTTTAATAGTTTTCTATTGTTCTTAGTCCTTAATATACCTGAAATGTCATGCCAAATCTGGCCCCTGTTAAGAACTTTTGTCTACCTAACAGCTCTATTTGGGTATCTCACACTGTTTGAATTCATCAACTTTTTTCCAAAAGTGTTTATTAACCACTGTTTTTTGTTGTTGTTGTTGTTGTTTTTGACATGGAGTCTGACTCTGTGAGCCCAGCCTTAACCACTATTTCTGATTTCACTTAATGCCTAGTGACTCAGTCTAGATTCCTAAAAGTAACTGCTGATTATTTTCTGTTATTCAGCCCATGCCCTAATCAATCACCAAGTTCTTTATGTATTTGATTTTTAAGTTTTATTTAAAAAATTTTAATTTTAATTTATACATAATAATTGTACATATTTATGGGATACAATGTGATGTTTCTATAAATGTGTAATGATAAAATCACCATAATTAGCATATCCATCACTACAAACATCTATCATTTCTTTGTAGTCAGAACATTCAAAATGTCTTCTAGCTATTTTGAAATATACAATAAATTATTGTTAACGATAGTCACCCTACTCTGCAATAGGACACCAAAGTTTATTCTTATCTAACTGTAACTTTATACCCACTTATATTTTTACCTGAAAGTATCCTTAAATATTTCAACTATTTGTATTTTGCTTCTTATAACAAGTAACAATTTTGATACTCCTATATTAAAACTAGATTTTCTTATGCAATTAAAAATAATTATGTAGTAATATTCTTAGGAATAGTATATTTCAATATTATGCAATACGGAGTATTTAGGTTGTTAATAGTATTATGTTAAACTGTGCTGCACTGAAGTTACTAATTTGTTTACTTCTCCAATTATTGTATTGTTTAAATTTCTGTGATAATGGATCTAAATATATGCATGGGTTGAAATATACACATTACCCTCAAGAAGAATTGTACTAATTTATGTCTCAAAAAACAATGTACAAAAATGCTCACACCAAAGCCAACATAAGTGACATTACTTAAGGTGACACATTGTGGTCGTTTTAAAAAAATGAATTTATTCATTACATTGATGTTTAAAAAATGAATTTATTTATTACAGTGAGCTTACATTACAAACATTGAAAAATTTTTAAATGTTTAATGTCCCTTTAAATTTTCTCTTATGCTAATTACATGAACAAAACTTGTGTGCATTTTTCTGCTATGGTCATCATTTTCACGTTGACTTGTTAGGACATTTTACATTTTCAAAATTTATTTTTTTTATATATTGAAAGCATTTTTCCAGATTGTCCTTTTCCTATTTTTTTTTAGAAATTGATGTTCAAGTATTTTATATAAACAAATTATTCATAAATTACTGCCTCTTTCACTTTGTTCATTTTCCTACAGTAAAACTCACAGCAGGATTACATATGTATTCAAAATTTTATCTTGCAGCAATTGTATGGTTTTCTAATATCTATTACGAGGTAGTACTCAGGTTGAGATTTATTTATTTATTTATTTTTGTATCTGCTCCCATGCTTGTTGTTTACATCTATGCCACTTGAATATTTCCTAATTTACCATTATTTGTCGTCTTCATCTGATATTCATTTATGTATGTATTTGGGCATGATGCAAGACAATCTATTTCCAATATAACACTGTTTCAGAACTATAAGTTTTTTTGTTTTTTTTTTTTTTGACAGAGTCTCACTCTGTCACCCAGGCTGGAGTGCAGTGGTGTAATCTCAGCTCACTGCTACCTCTGCCTCCCTGGTTCAAGCAATTCTCCTGCCTGAGCTTCCCAAGTAGCTGGGATTACAGGCATGAGCCACTGTGCCTGACCTAGTAACATAAGTTTTTAATTACCATACTTTATATGTTTTAAAAATTTGGGGGGAAATTATTTTTTAATGTTCTGAAAGTTGCTTAACTCACATTTACTATGTGAGGTAAGCTTTAGAATTAATTTTTTCAGAACCATCAGCCATTACTTTTGGATTTTGATACTGACTACCTTGCATATAATTTCAATTAGATAAAATTGACATCTTTACAACTTTAGGTCTTTCTATATATGAACATTCTGTTAGAGGCAGTAGGCAGACAAATTTCTAGATAGATAGGGGCACGTCCCTGGTGAAACCAGATCTTCAACCCAAAAACAGCCTGAAGCCTGAAAACCAGGTTGCCAGTTCTGGATGGAGTCCACGACCAGAGGGAGAACCTCTATTCCTGTTTGCCAGCTCTTTCCTAGCTGGTTCTTTCTGAATAATGCTTTTTAACCAACGGAATGTTGCCTTTTGCAAGGCACCTACCGCCTGGGCCTCCCCAGTTCTGAGCCTATAAAAACCCTAGACTTAGCTACACATGCCTACCTTCCAGTAGGGACCTGCCTTCCAGTAGGGACTACCCACTTCGGGTTCCCCCTCCTCTGAGAGCTGTTCTGTCTCTCAATAAAATTCTTCCCTGCCTCCCTCACTTTTCGGTTGTCCTCATTCTTCTTGGACACAGAACAAGAACCTGAGACCTGCCGAACAGCAGGTGCCAAAGATGCTGCTGTAACACCACAGCCCTCCCATCTTCCATCCTCCACTGGCGCTGAGTGGCAGTCCCATGTGACAGGAAGTGGAGGCAGAGCTGGGCCAGCCCAGGAGCCACGTGCTGGAGCCAGGTGAGGAGACTGAATGAGCTGGGACATTACCCCTTTTTCCAAAGCATGGAGACGGTGGGAATGAATAAACTGTAAGACATATGAGCTGTGAACCTTCTGGGGCCCAGACCTACTCCATAAGCCAGAGTTGTGATATGCTGTAACCGTATATTTGTACTACACAAATTTGTTGCTCTAAATTGTGCTTCATGTTTTTACTTTGTTTTTACACATATTTTGAGATAATTTCATCCTTAATATTTTTAAATGTTGCATATATTAGAATATTCTGACTTCATACTTGAAGGTCCTGTGACAATGTCTAAAATTCTTGGCACACTAAACTCTTTCCTATTGAAAACATTTATCTTCTTTTGCAACCTGTTGTCAAAAAGATTGCTAAAGAGGAAGCTTTGAAACTATCTCATTTTTTGTACTTTATTACTTGTTCAGAGAATATTAAATTTTTACTTTACCTTGTGAATGTAACTAAATGTAGATCAATTTTCACTAACATTGCTTGCAACTCACTCAGTCCTTTTAGCTCAGGGAAAATCCATTCTAATATAACTTCTGACCACTTATTTTTCATTTAATCTAATCACTTAAAGGAGCAGATGGACAGTAGAATTTTCTTATATATGAACACTTTTCTGATTTGTTTCAATCCCAAATCTCTGAGTCACAAGGCAGACAGACACACAGGAGAGATCAGGGTAAATGTATTTCTCTTTAAAGACTCAGAGATTCAAAATGATGTGTTGAATTTGGGACAGGTCTATCTTAGTCTAGCTCTATATTTTCAGTCAGGTGAAGTGTCTTCAAAATTTTTGTCTTCAGTAGTCCCTCAGCTTTCTATTCTATTTTATTATACATCTTCTTAGGGAGGTTTTCACTATTTTGTTTTTTCCATTTGTTTTAATTTTGCAGTGTTGACTGAGGCTGTCTTTTAAAATGATATTTGAGTATGTTGTCCAAGTACCTTTTTAAAGCAAAACCTATGCATTTTTTTTCCACAAAAGGCAAATTTGGGTTAACAGGCAGAATATGGTATTCAGAGAATTTGTGACAAAGTATAGGCACAGGCAAGTGGTTAAATGTCAGGGACTTTCCAAGAGGGATATCAGAAAATCACCGATAGTCAGGTCATTGGAGCATGACAATGAACAATTTAGGAGCTGTCACTGTTCAGAGATCCACAGAAGTAAGCTAAAAAATAACTGCACGAAGTAACAGGGTGACATATTAGGGGACTAATTGCAGTCTCTAAACTGGTGAGAGAAAAGGGACTGACCAGAAAGAAAGCAGGAGTTCAGGGTGAGGAACTTAAGTGGGAAACTTTGCCCAGGGGACCAGGACCGATCTGCGATTACAGACATGTACCTTCGAACAAAGCAGAAGCATAATTTCTTGATTTGGCCTGTATGGTCACAGCCAGATTGGTAGCAATGACAACTTGTTGCTGACCATCTGGCCGTGAATTAAATCCTTGCTGGCAAGGGAGAATTTTGGGTCTAGAAAGTACAGCAGGGTTAAGCTTAATGTCAAAAAGTCTGGCAAACGAATGGTAGCCAGCTTCTGATGCTGTGAACAACTGGCCCATTTCATAATGTATTCATACTACTTTTTTTTCAGTAGTCTTTAATTATATACTTTAATTAGGAACATTAGAGCTTTCTAGCAATAGGTACTTCTCTTATTATTAAGAATAGCATATCGTATACAGGATATTCTTTGTTCATTGGTAAACATTGCTTATGTTGTCTACATGTCAAAATGTTTATCTCAGCCATTTCGAATGGTGGGGCACATTATTTAAAATCAAGAAATACAGAGTATCTTTAAACTTGAGATATTTCCCTGTTATGCACATTTTAAATTTAAAATGTTGCATTCAAATGAAAAAAGAAATGTGTCAAAATTTGGTAACTGGTATTTTCAATAAATGCCATAATTTTTTATCCTTTTAGAGATCCTGTTATTAAATTAGTCCACCAAAGCATATTTATGACTTATTTATATTGTCTATTCTCAAACTGACACAGATGCAGACATAAACCCTTTCTCATACAACATTACTTTCTGGACATATTTGATAAATGATTTTATAAATAAAAATTTTAAAGTGTCCACTAAATTTTTAGTAATCTAGGATGGAAACCAGAATATTCGATGGGTGGGGTTAGTGATTAGAATATTACTTTTACTTCTACCCCTTAAAGCTCCTATTCTGAGTAAGATGCTGCTTGTCACTTTCCATTTTTGTATCAGCCTGTTGACTTTACAATCTGAAAGCTCTTGATCTTTAATGATCTGTAGCACATCTGTATGCATAATACTGTCTTCCAAACTCCTCAACAATACAAAAACATTAGGCACGTATCACAGAGCTCTTTTAATACATTTTCTACGCAACAATGCTTTTCCCAAATGCAACCCATTTTTGCATAAAAAATAAGATTGTACTGTGTGGAGATAATCAGGTAGTTATGCTGAACTAATGAGCTTTTCTTTTTCTGACAGTACTCTGATATAGTAATTGGAGAATTTAGTTATTCCTTAGATTCAGGAATGATGAGTTCTCTACCTTTGGTTATCATGAAAGATTTCCTTATACTAGAATATCCTGGTCAGGTAAGTGCATTAACAAAGCAACACTCCAATCCATTGATAACATTATATGAAATAATAGGCTGTCTATTCATTTACATAAAATCATTCATTAAAACTGAGATACTTTGCATATAATATAAATTAATTGTGCCCACTTGCCAATGTTACTTTTATTAAATAAATGGATCTGAAACTATGTGTTATTTTTCTTCAAAATCTTTAAAAAGTGGTCACTGGGAAATGATAATACCAGTTAGGATAACTTAACTTTGTTTAGAGGAAATATTTCTTCTAACTTGAAAACACATTTTACGAGTTATATTTTCACAATTTTAGACATTCTGCCTCTCATTCTGTTTGTCTCAGGTCCTGATTATCTTTCAGAATTTAGTCTTGATGCTCTGTGACCATATACATGCTCTTTCTGCACTCTAAAAATAATATTCAATACAAAATACAAAATAGGATATCAAGGGCCTACAAAATTCATTTAGACTAGTAGCATATTTTTTTAGCACATGTGGGCAACATTCTTATGAAAAGATGTTTTATTGTTTCCCCAGTATGACAAAGAAGCTAGTGAGAAAGTGGCAAATCCTCCATGTTTGGCTATTTTACTTTCAAGCTCTGGCCAGTTTCTTACACTGTTGTGGCAATAGCCTTTGGTTTGCTATTTCTTTTCCTTTCTGATGCTCCCTTCTTTTCATAGTTTGCTGTATTCACGGTTGAGGAAATGAAAGCGTCCATACTGCAATTAAGTTAGTTTCTTGCATGTACCCAACATAAGAAAGGCAAGTAAATGACTACTTTTTAAGATAAGCATGTCTTACCTCCGAGTCTATGTTTAGAGATTTTAAAAGTATGGTATTACTTTTTAAATATTTCTAAGACAAGCATACTTGAAAAAATGTTATGCCTTTTTCTAATTCCCTTCCTTTTCTGGCTTGTTTGAGGGAACCCAGACTATAAAACAAAGCTGATGAGAAGCCAAGAAAAGACATGATTAAATTAAAGCAAAATAATGAAAGAACAGAGTCACTTACATATTCAGCAAAAGCCAGCAAAATATATATATATATATATGAACAAAAGAAGAGAGGGGAAAAAAGGAAGGGAGGGAGGGAGGGAGGAAGGAAGGAAGGAAGGAAGGAAGGAGGAAGGAAAAGGAGGGAAGGAAGGAAGAAAAGGAAGGAAGAAAAGGAAGGAAGGAAGGAAATGTTCTCAAACTAAAATGTGTTTTCTGCAAGCTGAGTGAGCAAAACAGAGATTTCTTGCAGCTGTTACATTTGCTCTTAGAGCTGAAGTGGTAAATCAACTCAAGATGATCTGTCAGCCAATCAAGAAATCTTTACGTTTTGGCTGGGTCTTTAGTACAGAGATCTGGGTGGTCACAGGTTGCTTTCCTGTAGGATAATGTTTAATGTACTGTACAGCACATCCTTGAAAACTGGCCAAGACTATCATGGATTTGGCAGACACTTTCTGCAGCTCTGGGTGCCAACAGATGTCTTTGCTAGGTGAAAACAAATAAGAACCAAAATTCTTCCCAGCCTGCTGAAATAAAAGGTTCCTGGGAATTGCTGAGTGTTAAATTGCTGTCCTAAAACCTTTCATTTTGTGCTCTTGTTCTGAGTTGTGTTTTTGTTGCAATTGGCTCCCGGCCTAGGAACTTGGTGTGCTCTGCTGGGTTAACCATGATAAGCAGCTGGTGTGAGGGACCACTCCACAGTGGCTCAGTGGAGTTCAGGATTACCTCTACCACAAGAGGGTAGTATAAATCTTTGAAAGGCAGAGGTGATATTGTGATTCCCATCCCCAATCACTCTTCTGTTTTAACCTGGTCTCTGGCTCTGACTGTTTTACTTTTCCCCTTTCTCTAGAAACTCATACAACTGCCATTCTGAAAGCTTACATTGCTGTGGCACTTTATTAGCTTCAAAACTGTCAAAAAACAATCAGTGTGACTGTCTGCTGTCTGCAGGGGAGGGGGATATTCAACAGTTAGAATCTATATTCATATACTGGTAAACATTTTGAAACTGTCCCCTTAAGACCCATGAATAAGATTATGGAATGTTTTCTTAGTATTCAATGTCTATGTAATAGAAGGAAAAGGGATTAGCTGGAGGCGAATATGCATTCACAAATATTTGTTATTGAAAATTGCAAGAAAACTTGCTCATTCATTTATAAGTATTTTATTGAGATTTTTATTAAACCTCCACTACATACTATACACTAAGGATACAGCAGTAGGCTAGAGAGACCACCCTGCTCTCATGGAGCTTGCACATGAGTGTGAAAGACAAATACCAAGTGAGTTTACAAACAGTTATAAAAGTCTGGTGGTGGTAAGTGTGAAGAAGGAATATGAATCAGGATAAAGAGATGTGGGGAAAAGGGCAGTGTGATTTAGATAAGGTGGGTGAGTAAAGTTCTTAATCAAATACACAGGTGAGTACATATAAATTGAGTGGTATTTATCCATTCATTTAACATGTATTTATTGACTACCTAATATATATAATTTATGTCAGATGTTCTATTTAGCATTTAGTCAATATTATTTACATTCTTCAGGTATCAATTATTGCCACTCTTGCATAGCATAGATTTCAAGATATAAGGTTTTGATATTAAACATCTGTGTTTGCATCTTACTGTAATGTGACCTCTGGTAATTTTTAAAATACTTTTCTGATATATAAAATAATATGTACCATAGAGTTGTCAGGCATATTAATGACATAGCAAGGGAGAAGGGCCAAGCATAATACTTGAAGCACAGTTTATACCTATCAAATGTCAGTTACTGAAATTCTTAAAATCAATGCATAGCCGTATCTTTCAAGTTAAAAATATTAACAGTATAATCATGGGACCCTTTCCGTCCTTAAAAATCTTCCATAATTTAATGGTACCATGTTCAAAATGAACAGTTACAGACTGGAACAGAAAAAAAAAGAAAACTGCCATTGCTTTTCTACAAATGAAAACAAGTTAACTCATAAGCCCCCATTTTCAAAATATTATTCGTTCAAGGTAAATCAACTACAGATGGTCTCTGACTTACCATGGTTCAGCTTACGATTGTTTAATTTTACAATGGTGAGAAAACAATATGCATTCAGTAGAAACTGTACTTCAAATTTTGAATTGTGATATATTCCCAAGCTGAAAATATGTTGTATGATACAATACTCCCTTCTAGTTCTGGGCAGCCAGTGAGCCAAAGCTCCCAGATGGCCAAGAGATCACGATGGTGAACAACTGATAATCTACAGTGTGCTGTGCTGGAAAGTATTTTTTGTTGTGTGTGTTTTTTTTTTTTTTTCTTTGAGATGGGGTCTCACTATGTTTTCCAGGCTGGTCTCAAACTCCTGGGCTGAAACACTCCTTCCCTCAGCCTCATAAATAGCTGGATTACAGGCGTGAGCCTCTGCACCTGGCCAGAAAATGTCTTCAATCATAGATTGCAGAGCTCCACCGCCAGAGTTTGTGATTCAGGAGGTCCTGGGTGGAGCCTGATAACTTGAGTTTCTAACAACTTTCCAGGTGATGCTGATGCTGCTTGTCCACGGACCACTCACCCAGATAAATCGTTATTTTCTTTTGGGCTTGAAAATCATTTTGCTACATTTTTCCTTCTTTGTATTTTATAACATAAAACGTATCTCTCAGTATTTCAAAATCAGCTCTTAGTATTTCAAGTCTAATTTTGCTAGGCTTCCTTTTAGGATTTTTATAGCTTTATGTCTTACATTTAAGTCTTTAATTCATCTTGAGTTAATTTTTGTATATGGTGAGAGATAGGGGTTCCAGTTTTATTCTTCTACATACAGCTTGCCAGTTTTCCCAGCACTGTTTATTGAATAGGATGTCCTTTCTCCAGTGTATGTTTTTGTCAACTTTGCCAAAGATCAGTTGCTTGCAGGCATGTGGCTTTATTTCTGACTTCTCTATTCTGTTCTGTTGATCTATATATCTATTTGTATACCAGTATCATGCTCTTTTGTTTACTATAGCCTTGCAATATAATTTGAAGTCAGATAATGTGATGCCTCCAGCTTTGTTCCTTTTGTTTAGGATTGTTTTGGCTATTCAGGCTGTTTTTTGGTTCCATTTGAATTTTTAGGGTTGTTTGTTTCTAATTCTGTGAAAAACGACATTGATAATTTGATAGGAGTGGCATTGAATTTGAGGATTACTTTTGGTAGTATGGTCCTTTTGATGATGTTAACTTTTCCAATTCATGAGCATGGGGTGTTTTTCCATTTGTTTGTGTCATCTCTGATTTCTTTAATCAGTGTTTTATAGCTCTCCTTGTAGAGATCTTTCATCTCCTTGGTTAAATGTATTCCTAGGTTTTTTTTTGTAGCTATTGTAAATGGGATTGAGTTCTTGATTTTTTTCACAGCTTGATCATTATTGGTGTATAGAAATGCTATGGATTTTTGTACGTTGGTTTTGTATGCTGAAACTTTGCTGAAGTCATTTATTAAATGCAATATTCTTTTTGAGGAATCTTTAGAGTTTTCTAGGTATAAGATGATATCATCAATGAATAAAGATAATTTGAATTTCTCTTTTCCAATCTAAATACTTTCTGTTTCTTTCTCTTGCCTGATTGCTCTAGCTGGGACTTCCAGTACCAGGTTGAATGGGAGTGGTGAAAGTAGGTATTCTTATCTTGTTCTGGTTCTTAGGGGAATGATTTCAAATTTTGCCTGTTCAGAATGATGTTGGATGTGAGTTTGTCATAGATAGCTTTTATTATTTTGAAGTATGTTTGTTCAATGCCTCCTTTTTGGGGATTTTTGTCATGCAGAGATACTGGATTTTATTGAATGCTTTCTCTGCATCTATTGAGATAATCATACAGCTTTTGTTTTTAATTCTATTTATGTGGTGAATCACATTTATTGATCTGTATATTTTGAAGCATCTTTCCATTGCTGGAATAAAACTTTGCTGTATTATCTTTCTGATGTACTGTTGGATTCAATTTGCTAGTTTTTTGTTGAGGATTTTTGCGTCTATGTTTATCATGATATTGGTCTCTGGTTTTCTTTTTTGTTGTATCATTGCCTGGCTTTGGAATCAGGGTAATGCTGGCTTCATAGAATCAGATAAGGAGAATTCCCTCCTCCTCGATTTTTTGGAACAGTTTCAGTAAGATTAATACAATTGGCCTAGGCAAAGAATTTATGGCAAAGTTCTCAAAAGCGAACACAACAGAAACAAAAATAGGCAAATGGGACTTCATTAACTAAAAAGCTTCTGCACAGCAAAAGAAATAATAATAAACAGAAAATCTACAGAATGGAAGAAAATATTTGAAAACTATTCATTAGACAATTCTGGCTAATATCCAGAGCTATAAGGAACTCAAACAACACAACAAGAAAATTCAAATGACTCCACTAAAAAGTGGGCAAAGAACATGAAACAGACATTTTTTTAAAAAAACATACAAGCGGCAACAAACATATGAAAAAATGTTCAATATCACTAATCATCAGAGAAATGCAAATTAAAACCACATTAAGATACTGTCTTACACCAGTCAGAATGGCTATTATTTAAAAATTAAAAACAACAGATGTTGATGAGGATGTGGAGAAAAGGGAACATTTACACATTATTGGTAGGAATATAAATTAGTTCAACCTCTATAGAAAACAGAATGGAGATATCTCAAAGAACTAAAAATAGAACTACTGAGTATCTACCCAAAGGAAAAGAAATCAATATATGAAGTGACACCTGCACTCATATCTTTATTGCAACACTATTCACAAAAGCAAAGACATGGAACCAACCTAAGTAAGTGTCCATTAATGAATGATTGAATAAAGAAAATGTGGTGTGTATACATACACACACTGAATATGTTATATTATATATATACTGAATGCGATATATATATGCATATTTATATGCATACGCATATGTATAGAGAGAGACACACACACACTGTGGAATACTACTCAGCCATAAAAAGAATGACATCATGTCTTTTGCAACAACATAGATGGAACTAGAGGCCATTATGTTAAGTGAAATAACTCGGAAACAGAAAGTCAAATACAGTACGTTTTCTTAAAGTGTGTGCTAGACAATGTCTATATATGAATATACAGAGTGGAATAATAGACACTGGAGACTCCAAAAGGTGAGAGATAGGGCAAGGGATGAGAAATTATCTATTGGGTACAATTTACACTATTTGGGTAATGGTTACACTAACAGCCCAGATTCCAGCACTATGCAATATAGGTAGGTCTTTTAGAATTTTAAGAAAACGTTTTATCTTTCACCAAAGCTTAGTTCTTTTTTTTTTTTTTTTTTTTTTTTTTTGAGACAAGTCTCGCTCAGCTGTCACCTAGCCTGGAGTACAGTGGCGCAATCTCGGCTCACTGCAAGCTCCGCCTCCCAGGTTCAAGCCATTCTCCTGCCTCAGCCTCCCGAGTAGCTGGGACTACAGGCGCCCGCCACCACGCCTGGCTAATATTTTTGTATTTTTAGTAGAGACAGGGTTTCACCGTGTTAGCCAGGAGGGTCTCGATCTACTGACCTCGTGATCTGCCCGCCTCGGCCTCCCAAAGTGCTGGGATTACAGGCGTGAGCCACCGCGCCCGGCCACCAAAGCCTAGTTCTTACAAAACTAGTGTTTTGTCTTTCAGACAGTGGTTTACTCCTTTTTCCTTACTGTGTTTGCATTTGCTTCAAAGATGAATGAAATAAAATACCAAGAGGTGGAACTATGTTTCAGAAATAATTTCAAATGTAGACTTCTAATTTTTTTCCACTGTGGTCCAAGAAGATACTTGATATAATTTTGATATTTTTGAATTTATTGAAACTTTGTAGCCAAGCATATGGTGTATTTTGGGGGATATTCCATGCATAGATGAGAAAAATGTATATTGTGCCACTGTTAGATAGAATATTTTTGTAAATGGCTATTAGCTCCGTCTAGAGTCCCATTCAAGTCCAGAGATTTTTTGTTGATTTTCTGATTCAATCAAATGTACTTTTCCATTTGGAAGAAAAATAAATCTGCATGTATTGAAAAGTATCTCCTGTTTAAGTATTTTCTATTTTGGCCTTATGATTGCTAAATATGATTTAGGCACATGAGAGTCTTTCAAACTCTGGAGGTATCATACTGTTTTGCAATTATGTTCTGTTAAATAACGCTTAGGCAGATTACAAGTACTTAGCTAAATTAATATGAGCAACCGTTTATAATCTGTTATATTTCGCTTATGGTAATTTTTAAGAGTTTATGTTGGATGCACAAATAAGCTAGCTGAACCTGCTAAATGAAAGTGTATGCACTTAATCCTTTTTCTCATACTGCATTTAAATTACACCATAAGAATTGTTCTTTTTATAGCATGTTCTTAAGAGCCTAACTGAATACCTTTGCCATTAAGGACAATATTATACATAAATACATACCTACAGACAGGCACATATACATATACATACACTCATACATTTTTTAAACTGTGATGAGACTAAACTAGATACAGCACATGTATACAAGAGCTTGCTAATATAATTTCTATGACTAAAACAAACTCTCACTCAAATTTTGATTTTCCTGGCTTCAGGCAGACTAGACAATGTACTTTTCATATGATTTTAATCATGTTTTTTCAAGTAGTCTTAAATTGAACTGGGGCTGAGGTATAAGATCTCTATTTTGATTACTGGAATTTGGGCATGAAATTGTAGTTGCTATTTTTTGTGGTTTGTATGGTTGGTTGTTTTGGAGACAGGGTCATTTCATTATATTGCTTAAGTCCATGGGATGGTTTTCCCATAAGGGTGTGCATGGCATTTACACCTTTATGGCATGCAAACATAATTATCATACTTTAATATTTGAAACTGATGGTGATAGTGGAGGAAGAGACTGAAAAGACCAGAACCTGTTATGAAGCAGGCAGTTATTGGAAGCTGCTCTTTAGCAAGTGAGGTTTCTGCTTTCAGACATGCCTTTGTGTTTGAAGCTCTACCTTTTTTCTATTAGTCTCTGTAATGTAGTCCTACAGAGACATTTTTTTTTCCAAAATGGTATCAACCCATCGCAGATTTCTAGCTGCCAGCTGCCTGCTGCTATTTCTGTTTATTTCAAATAATCAACAACTCTTTTTAAATTTCTACAGGCTGAGTTTCTGTGGTCCAGTCTTTCTTTTGGCTAAAAAATATATTGGCTTCACATGAGAGCATGTCTACTAACCATGGCTGTAAAAGTAATTGATGCATTCTAGTCCAGGATCTTGATAATTTCAAGTGTATTTTGCTAATTGAAGACAACATTAACACAGTGCTTGACAATAAATCATGTCTGAATACTGAACAAAGGAAATGATAGTGTTTAAAGGTTCTCTAAGCTCTGAGCATACATTATTAATCTTAAATTGTTTTCATTTTCATTTCTTCCCCGGGTGTCATTCATATGGGAGACCTAATATTTTGCCTACCCAGCAACCATTTAGGTTTTATTTGGTAAAAGAAGCTTTACTTTTGGGGAAGAGATAATTCTTTCCTCAATCTTAGTCCATGTGATTTGAGAGAGTTTGGCTCAACTTTGAGCTTTAGGAATAGATGTAACCCCAGTGTGGCCATTCAGGGCACTTTAAGCTTCTCAATGACTCATTACCTCAGTTGAACCAGTGAGATCCTTACATATGAGTTTGTTAAAACTCAATAAAAAGAATGTTTGTTTGTTTGTTGTATGTTCTCAAAAAGAAATTTTTACCTGATCCAATATCATCTTGCTGTCACTGGTTGTCACTTGGCACTACTTGTGTTTGAGAATAACTGACTAAAAATAAAGTCAACAAAGATAAAAGCAAATCGGTAGTGAAGACTTACCTTGTGAGCTATTCTTGACTATCTCATTTGAACACATATATCATGTCATACCTAAAACTGTTTCTATGCTTGAACTTCTCTGTTATGCCTGCCAAATACTCCTTCTCTTTATTTTTGTTTGGAACAGTCTGCATTGGGTTACTGCTCCCCACAACTAAATTGTATTATAGAGTGCATTGATTAATATAGCATCCTTAGCTCCTAACACTGGTATTGATACTTACAAAAAAAAGCATGATAGAACCATAAACTCTAGGATAAAGCAAATCATTTATTATGTGATAAGTTAGTAAACACTGTTTTACTGACATTAACACCTATCATTTTACTTCCATGGCTACAAAGAAACATTTGATGTAATATGTACTCATATATGAAAGTGTTTTGCTCTTCCTTATCTTTCTTTCCATTTTTGATTTTTCTCCTGAGTTTACTCTCAGTATAATGTGGCTACTTTTGTTTTATAATATTTAGTGATATTTTCTTTTATGAAGCCAATCCATAAATAGGGTGCTTATGTATCCATATAACACAGTATAATGGAGACTGATGATGAACTATGGAGGTAACAGAATACAATGACAGCTCTAAGCCCTATAGGTCAGGAGAGAGTTGCTGCCAAGTGTAGGATTTGCCCAGCAAGACCTTGGTTTTCAGGATGATTGTCATTTCATTGTATTATACTGGGCCTTTAAACAATCCATAATTTATTGCATGTCTTCTGGAATGTGTGCTTCCAGGACAGAGTCAGCAATGTACTGACTTTCCTAAATAACTTTATCAAGGTCTTCAATGTATGCCTGTAAAAGCCAGGAGTAGAAGGGTTTTCTATACTTTCCAAACTCTAGATACAAGGCTTTTGTTTCATGCCTGATCAGTGTAGAATATGAGGGCTGGAATGTCACTTTTACCTCCAGGACTTTAGCTTCACAAATACACTCAGGGACTCAGACTTTTGCTGACTATAATATTTTCCCAATATGTAGAGACAGTTTTTAAGATCTTGGACTGCTCTGAATTGTAATAAACATATATCTTAACCCTGGTTCTCCTGCCTATCATCTGGGAGCCCTTGGGATGTGGTCAGTTTCCTCCCTTGTAATAAGGAAAAATCTTAATGAACTATTTTCTAGGATGCTGGTTATTGAATGAGATAATCCTGATTTGTCCTTAAAATTTGATTTAAGTATTAGTGTAAGTATTATAGTCAAATGTTAAAATAGCAATGTAAAAAATAAGTTCAATTCTCAAGTAAACATTTGTTTTACTAATAATTTCTAAGATGTGTGATTTATTCAAAAATATTCTCTGACCCATATATGCTATATCATGAAATTATTTGGCTGAATAGACTCCTTGATTTATATGTTCTACCTGGCTTCTTCCATCCTCTTAGCTATATGAATATATTGTAAGCATATAATTGGCCATGTGTTTGTACTTGCATTCAGTGCCCAGAGAGGTCACATACATGAAATTGTCCCCATGAGGGAAGAGTAGCAAAGACCCTTGAGATAAATGAATCACCCAGAGCAAAGGAAAGATGCTCTTCTCTGGAATTCAACATAGTCATGGAGTCACAGCACACAAGAAGTGATCTATCAGTACTGCCTCAAGGTCACAATTTCCAATTCAGAGAATCACCCAAGAGAGGGGTTCAGAATTAGTAAGTGCTTCTGGGACTGCAGCAGAAAGCAGTGCAGGAAGAAACACCATTTATAAAAGTGAAGAAGCTACAATGAATACTAAATTTTTTTCTCCTTTCTTTGCAAGTGACAAAACAAGAAAGCACTCACTTACCTGACATCACATGAAATGAGAAGTGATAGTAATTATGACTTATTAAAACTATTGTAAATCATTACCATTGGTGACAATGATAAGCACAATTATGTAGGACAGAAGAGATAGTTGAACAAACAAACAAACAAACAAAAAGACACTCTAAAAGGACATAAAAGAGAGAAACCCAAGACAATAGATTTATTTTCTTAAAGAGTAGAGAGAAAAATAAATGACACCTGGAGTTATGGACTGAATGTTTGTGTCCGCCCAAATTCATATGCTGAAGCCCTAGCCCCAGTTTGATGGATTAAGGAGGTAGGGCCTTTGGGAGGTAATTAGGTTTAGATGAGATCTTAAGAGTAGATGACAGTGATAAGATTAGTGTCCGTACAAGAAGAGAGAACTGTGAGAAATCCATGTCTGTTGTTCAAGACAACCAGTCTATGTGATTTTGCTATGGCAGCCCACACTGACTAACTGGATGAGATACAAGGTTAAAATTTTAGTGTTCAGGAGTTTTATGAAACATATTTTATATAAGTTTTATAAAACCATATTTAAGTACCCTCACTAGAACACGTTTGTATTTTATCTGGAACATAACTGTATTTGTTTATAAATAAATAATATTAAAACTAATATTAATAAGGTTAATAGTAATCGTTTACCTTTATATATGACTTCTAGTTTTGTCATTAACTCTTACTATAATGATTTTAGTAAGTCCTAGAGAGAATCAGGCTTGTCAAGACTACAAAGCAAATAGGATATAATTGGCACAAGAATTTATATTTTTTCTAAATGCTCGATCAAGGTTTTATTACAATTTCTACTTTGTTCTGAAATCGGCTAAGTTTATAAAATCTCCATTAAGCTTATGGACAAAATTTTATTGTTTAGCTAAGTGGCATTATAATTTTTCTCTTTTTTTCCCAATTGTTCAAGTTAGGAAACTTAGAACAAAATTATCCTTCATTGTTTTAACACTGGACTTAAAATTCTTTTTCAGTATATCAACAAATACACTAAAATAAAGTTCTCTCTAATTACTTCATATATATCTTAGCTTTTTATTAGTTTATATTTTTCTGCTATGTATTATTCTTCTTCAAATGCATGATCCTACTATTATTTTCATTAGAACTCATCTCTTTCTAATCTGAATAATTTCTCCAGCTGTCCAGATCCATCTGTATTTTTGATCAAACTGATTTATTATCTCTCGCTTCTAACATTTTATTATTATAGATTTGGATGTGCACTCATTCACATTTTCCACTGACTGCTTATTGATTGTGTTGAGTAATTTCAAAGCACATTCTGATCTCCAGGAGCCTTCCTTGATACTTCTATCTTCCAATGAGGCATAAAATAATTGCAGTTTTCTGTTTGCCAGGCTAATTTGTATATTCTTACTGGCCATTATTTATATATAATAAAACATTAATGAAACTTCTGTTTTTCAAAACTCAACTTTTAGAAAAAAGAAGAAATGATAAAACAGTAACTAGAAAGTATGGGGTTTTCTAAAAACTGACACAGTAATTGTATAGGCATATCTCCTTTTATTATGCTGTGCTTTATCGCTTCTTGCAGATACTCTGTTTTTCTACAAATGGAAAGTTTGTGGCATCCTTGACTCAAGCAAATTTTTCAGCACCATTTTTCAAGAGCGTGTGCTCACTTCACCTCTCTGTATCGTGTTTTGGTAAGTCTCACAATATTCCAAACTTTTCCATTGTTATTGTACCTGTTATAGTGATCTGTGATAAGGTAACTTTTATGCTACTATTGTAATATTTGAGGGCACCATAAACCAAACCCATATAAGACATATAAGACATATCTATTAAGTAAACTTCATAGATAAATGTTTTGTGTGTTCTGACTGCTCCACTAACTGTCTCTTTCATTCTCTTCGGGCCTCCTATTCCCGAGACACAACAATATTGAAAGTAGGCCAATTAATAACACTACAAGGGCCTCTAAGTGTTCAAGTGAAAGGAAGAGTCACACATCTCTCACTTTAAATCAAAAGCTAGAAATGATTAATCTTAGTGAGGAAGGTATGTTGAAAGCCAAGACAAGCTGAAAGCTGGACCTCTTGCTTGAAACAGTTAACCAACCTGTGAATGCAAAGGAAAAGTTATTGAAGGAAATTAAAAATGCTACTCCAATTAACACAAAAATGAACATAGAAACTAAAACAGCCTTATTACTGATATAGAAAAAGTTTTAGCGATCTGGAAAGATCAAACCAGTCACAACATTCCATAAAGCCAAAGCCTAAACCAGAGCAAGGCCCTCTTTTATTTCATAAAGGCAGAGTGAGGTCCGAAAGCTGCAGAAAAAAAAAAAGGTTCATGAAGTTTAAGGAAAGACGCCATCTCCACAACACAAAAGTGCAAAATGAAGCATTACGCGCTGATGGAGAAACTCCAGCAAGTTATCCAGATGGAGTTAAGGCAACTCAGGAAGGTGGCCACACTAAACAACATATTTTCAATACAGACAAAGCAGTTTTATATCAGAATAAGATGCTATCTGAGACTTTCATAGATATAGAGAAGGAAAAGTCAATGCTTGTCTTGATCTATGTAGCAAACTTTCATAGCTACATTGACAAATTTTAAATGTTAAGACTTAGATACAACAATATCTTCAGGCATTCTATTTGGAAAATATACTACAGACCCTATAGGAAATGAAGATAATTGGTCCTGCTAATTTCAGATGGAGAATGCAACCTCAGGCAACCTTTCATCCCCTATCTCCAGACAACACAAATGTATCCAGGGAGAATAATCAGTACATATTTTTTAGGCAAATGAAAAATATGGAGACGTAAGTCTCCCTCTTTTTATGATCAGATAAAATCAGCTTACCTGTTTAACTTAAATTTTAATTTCCAGTTCATATAATGCAGGTTTTAAATACAAAATTTTCTAAATATTTTTGCTGATACGTAAAACACCAGCACGTAATTCCTTCTACCTTACATTTAAGAAAGGTTCTATCTAAATGAACTCCGTGGCAGTGAAGGTATTTATATTCTAAAGCTATTTTTTCTAATTAAGAAGCAGATGATGTAGCAGTCTTTGCCTTTCTCACGGCCAAACTCAGCATTTTACTGGGGTGTGCCTTTCAAAAGGAACACTGCCTTTTCTTCCTCTACTATATCGGTTGCTGCTTCCTACATACTACTGTATTTCCTAAGAATATATTAAGACAGTGCCCCAAATTCATAGTCTTTGATATTGGTCCTTCATCCTTATTGCCTATTCCTACGCAATTTTAAATTTTAGCTATGATCAAGTAACTTGATCAGATTTTTAAGGGACTTTATTAATTGGGCCTTGTTTGGAATGAACATATAATCATTCCACGTACATAAAACCCAAAATAAAACATCAAGTGTTTATTTGTACTTCAATAAGCATAAACATGGAGTGGTTCAGAGATGTTAAAGGAAGCATTTATTAAATGAAAATAGCATAAAAAATAAGAAGAAAAACTAATATATGTTGGTTAGCATATAAGGAATTAGAATAGGAAGAGAAGTTAAAAGGATATCAAAAGTTTCAATTATAACATAGAAGTTCTACTGTGGATTATCTTGATTAAATTATGTAACCAAAGCAATCTCTTGTTACCTCATTTTAAAGATGACAATTATAAATACTAAATTGTTCCTGAGATTTAATTTAAAAAGCAGATCTAAAACTATCACTTGTTCATAATGATAGGTGACCATAAAATGTTAGCTGTGTTAATTCCTTCTTTCCCTGGGGCAGTACTTAGTGAATGCTTCTTTAACTATTTGGATGTATAAGTTAAAATATTATAGGAAGGAGCATGATGCAAAGATGAAGTGACACAGATTTCAAAAAACAAGGAACACATGGTTAAGCTTATCATCTCCAGAGAGGAAATCTATAGTATAATAATTCACTGGATAGGTGGACCTCATTAGTTTAATGGAAACATGGCAACAGATATCCAATAAAACCATTTAGCCAGGCATGGTATAACACTAGCCAATCTTAGATTGCTATTGGGTTACCCAAATTTTATTTTTGAAAAGGAGGCTTATGTGTGTATTATATGTACATATTTATATTTTAAGTTCTTTAAAATGTTGATGCCTCTTAACATTGTCATAGGCCAAGCAGTAGAAGCGATTACCTATGCTTTGGGGACCTTAGCTGTCATTTCTTATGAACATAGCTGGACAATGTAGGGTAAGCAAAATTTTATCTCTACCTTCTTAGAGTTTTGGCTGGGCCTGAGAATTAAATTGATATAAGACAAATTAACAGGAGAAGAGCATAAACATGTATTTCACGTAAGTGTTAAATGACATGAGAGCTTTCATGAAAAACTGAAGACTCAAAGAAGTGGCCAAATCTACATGTTTTTATACTAGGTTGAACAAAGAGAGGCAATTATGTAAAAGTAGCTAAACCCTGTGCAGAGGCTAAAGGAAGATAATAATTATTTTAATAAAGTCCATTTGTACAGTGAAAGGGGAGGGTCAGAGTGCTCTTCTTGCATCTGTGGTATTTATAATTTGCCTTTAGCTCAAAATAGTCTTTATGCCAAAGTGGCATATTTTGGGGTGGCATATTCTGCCACCCTTCAATAGCCGTAACCCCTTGCTTTATATCAACAGGGCATTTAAGAACCATTTGAGAAAAAGGTATATGGTTTATCATTGTTGTCAAAAGATATTCCATAATATCTTCTGAAAAGTCCAAGAGAACAACAAAATTAAGTCTGCAGAATGGCAGTAATTGACATGGAAAAATATCTTGGTGACAAAACTAAAGTATTTCTGAAGGTAATCCTGTATCATTTTATTATTAATACTATTGAAGTTCACAAGGGATATGTTATACTGAGGTAAAATAAAAAGATTGACAATTCTGGTGATTCCAAAGAGCCAGACTAAATCGAACATATTTTAGGAGTACTTTAACCAAAATATATCTCTTGTATGTCCTTTTTAAATGTATATACAAGAGTGATACATTTTTAAATGCAAGTCTAAATTGAGTCCAAAAATATTTTTTCCATAGTATAAAAAGTAAGAAAATACTGAGATACATTTTAATTTACAGTGTGTTCTTAATGATAATTAAAACAATAGTGTGTCATAAAATTGATCTTGTCTTGGGTTTAATGAAATACAGTAGTTGCTCAGAAACTATAAAATCGTGATCTAGCATGTATCCTAGGATGAGCGTTGTTATAGACATTTTAGATTTTTTCCTTTTCTTTTCTTTCTAGTTCAGGTATAACAGCCAATAGACCCCCACTGCAGATGCCATACAAAGTTACAAGTATTACATTTTGGGACATGACAGCATGAAAGAATGAACAGAGAACACATTTAAGTAAAATTAAGAGAAACGTGGAGGGGTTCAGCTCTTAAATGAGGTGTAATTGTGGGATTATAGTTGATCCATTTGGTATCGATATTTGATGCTTTATGGCCATGTATTCTCTTTGGAAAGCATGGCTGGATTAGCCATATTATATTTGTTCAAATAAAAATAGGCAAGATAATTCTTTTTGCAGTCTGGGAAAATGCAAAGTCTACCTAAGAGGCAAAGGCTTTTTTATTCTAAAAAATATATGTACCATTCTCACTTTTGAGAACTTTTAAAGTAATATATTTTAAAAGTTTAGTAGGAAGATAGAAAGTAGAAAAAAAAAGTGAAGAAAATGATTTACATTGAGCCAAGCATAGAGATTAAATGAAAACACAGAACTACTTAAGTCCAAATTTGTGCAATTGTGGCCTCCATTTTGCACCTGCACTGTGTGGGCATAATTTAAATGAAATAACATCTGGCATGTTGTAAGTGTAGTCATCAACAATTGCAGAAGCATTTAAGTTGTGACTGCACTTATGGGGAAAAAAGAGAGAAAACGCAATTAAGAAGACGTGAGTCTAAGATAGGATTAAACTCACAATTTCTACATAACTCATTCTTTAGACTCCAGAGGCCAAAGCCCCAAGCTGAAGAGAATCTCACAGAGTATCAGAAGTTCTGAAGCAAGTAGTTCAATCATGGAGTGGTGGAAAGAGAGTGGGCTTTGGAGGTGATTAGAATGGGTTACACAGCTCAGCCTCACCACTTCCTAGGGGTAGGGAGTTGAACCAATTAAACGTTTTGCATCATATGTCTCTCAGTTGTAAAATGAGAATAATAAAAACCACATGAGTTTACAGTGAGAATTACAGTAGAGTGTGATAAAGTAGGAGGCACCATGAATGGCAGCATCCTTTCTCAACTCTCGTTATTTCTTATATTTCTGTCCCTATATTTTATATAACAATGATATTTTTATGTATTTAAATTGACTCTATGTGTCTCAATTTGACTTATAAATTCACCTACCTCATACCCCAGGGATTGGGGAATCATTTATTCATTCTAAACCATGTATAGAAAACCTCTTATGTGTAAATTAATAGGCCAGATCCTGGAATTAAAATTGTGAGCATGAAGAGACATGCTCCCTTGGTTCATATAATCTACTGGGTGACACAGACATTAATCAACTGTACATAAAAAGTAAAGTGACATTACAAATGTGATATGCACCATGGATGAGGGATATACCTTGTGATATAAAAGGGTGCAGGAGTCAAATAAGTCAGGAAAGTATTTAGTGAACCACAGGAGAAAGAAAAAATATCTAGGCAAAAATGTGAGGAAAAAACCTAAAGACAAGTAAAAAACCTAAAAAACAAAACACAAAAAAATCCCTGAGACCTTTTTTGGCAGAAAGGAGCAATGTATATGAAATAAAAAGAAAATGTTTGGTATTAAAGTAAAGATGAAACAGATAACTGAAAAATTTATAGAGGTCTGTATCAGGTAATGTGGAATGAACAGTAGGGTTGTCTATAGAGGGTTGAAGCCATGAATTATGTTCAAAATATGCTTGAAATTATATAACAATGGAAGTATTCGTTAAAATGCAAATTGTGCCCATAATGGACATTTTGACTGGCAGTCAGATAAATTTAATTTGCAATGACATTTCTTTGAAATGCAAGCTCTAACTTTGGGAGAGATATAATGTACAATGTATAAGTGGGAACAGTAGAGTTTGGCATGACAGATGTTCACACATACATTCTTCTTCCTCTTGATCACTTCTAATTTTTCCCTGTATTTAGTTCATTTCATGTCAGAAAGTGGAGTTTCAATTCAATTTTAATCTGGATTAGACTACTATTTCTGAGATAGATTGCACAAATACAGTAGTACAGCTAATTAGATAGATAGATAGATAGATAAATTTAGATGGTAGGATGGACAATGCAATTGCATTGATGTAAGATAAATGCAGTTGTAGAGCAGTCCAAAACTTGAGTCTGAGTATGGATTTTTTTTGAGGTTGCAAATCCTAAGGGAAATATAAAAATGTGATTGTACCTTAAGTCTCTGGGATGGACACCATAAATTAGACAAATAATACAGAGCATGTTTTTATTAAGTTAAAATTTTATTCTAAACTATTTATCAGTCTCAACATATTCTGCTTATATATTAGTGAAGTAAGTCATATATCTACATATTAATAGGAATAAATTCTCTAAAACACTGTCAATAATACAAACAGCATCTAATAGGAAACTCAACTATTTAACAATACTAACAGTAATACAAAATTAATATTTTTGTAAATTCACTGGATTTTTACAAAAAACTTCAGATAAATATTATTACTCTTCAGATAAATATTATTACTCTGATACTGCAAATGATGAAACTGAGATCCTGAATATTTAGCTTGGGTAAACAAAGACACAAAGCCATAGGGCTAGGCATATAGTAATTTTATGAGAAATATTTGTTGAATTAATAAACCCATGGACTATCCAAAGAGAAAACCTAGGTCTCCAGAACTTGTCTCACTATATAACAAACAGAACCATTGGATAGTATAAAACATACTTAGAAGCCAGAGCTACATTTTCTTTCATTTAATCATTGGTTTATGTATTCATCCACTCACTCATCTATTCATTCTGTTATTATTCATAAATTTGTTGATAGCACATTATCTCTGAGAAATTTTGTTAGGTATAAAGATGCATCAATACATGAAACAATCATGTCCTCAGTCTTCACAGAGTGTGTAGTTTATCAGAGAATATAGACAATTATACAAGTAATTTCCATGCAGTTAACACAGGAAAAGTAAAGAATGCAAGGGAATCAGAAAGTAGGGCATACTAATCTGTGGCTGGGAAAGGGAGACAGTAAAAAAACCTCAGAAGTGAATTTAAGCCAAGTCCTTACCTAAGAATGGGAATTAGCCAAGTGAAGGCAGACAGAATTTGGAAAAAGTGGGAGAACAGTGCATGCAAAATAACTGCATGTAGAGAGGAAGCTTATAGGCTAGAAAAAAATAGTTCAATATGGATGAAAGATAGAGTGCAAGATGGAGTGTGAAAAGACATGAAAATAGAAAGAAAAGTAAGGGCCAGAAGATGGAGAGCCTAGTATACCACGTTAAGACGCTGGATGCATCCTCAAAGCAATGGTTTGTTTTGAAATAGAGGATTGGTTAAGCAGAGGAACATCAAGATCAGAGATGCATTTTTGTTTGTCTTTTTAAAGATCCTTTTACAGAGATCTTATATAGACAAAATTTTAGAAAAAAACAGAAAAGCCAGAATGATATGTGGATATCAATTGATTTTAGTGGTATTGGAGAAAATTAAATAATTAGGAGGCATGTTTAAAGACATCTACAAAGCATCCTAATTAATTTGGAGTGAGTCTTTGGGATGGCTTCCCAATTCTGAGTCCCAAGATTAAACAGGCCAATCTTGGGCCGGGCAAAGTGGCTCATGCTTGTAATCCCAGCACGTCGGGAGGCCAAGGTGGGTGGATCACCTGAGGTCAGGAGTTTGAGACCAGCCTGACCAACATGGTGAAACCCCATTTCTACAAAAATTACAAAAAAATTTAGCCTGGCGTGGTGGCGCACACCTGTAGTCCCAATTACTCGGGAGACAGAGGCAGGAGAATCGCTTGAACCCGAGAGGCAGAGGCTGCAGTGATCTGAGATCGCACCACTGCACTGCAACCTGGGCAACAGAGCGAGACTCCATCTCAAAAATAAATAAATAAATATATAAAACATAATAAAATAAAAAATAAACAGATCAATCCTGTCTCTGGTAAATATTGCAGATTGGTTCAATCAACATATATTCTTTAAACTAGGGAATGGCGAGGTAAAATCTCATTTCTTATACTTTTGAAGCTAAGTTTTCAAAAGTGACAAAGTTCTACACTGCAGGCTCCCATAAAAGACTTGAAAGGCTGAACTAAAAATTATGTGGAAGAGGTCATGAGTCTTCTCTAGCAAGCAAAGTCAGAACAGATTTTTCTATTTCCTTTTTTGGAGGTTTTCGTTTGTTGGTTGGTTGTTTGTTTTTAATAGTAGCCATATAAGGGTTTCTGTTATCAGGTCCCTGGCATTCTGTATGTTTAGGGGGCAGAAAGCTGCTGCTGCTTCAGACTTTCAATAAAATATTTCTATGGTGTGATTGTATAGTTTTCCTATTTGTATGGTTTCTAAAAGTTTGGCATGTAATTCCAGTAACTAAATAATATTCTTAAATAAACTCATTTGTTCTTTCATACTAGCTGGAGTGGATTTTATTGTCAGCTGTAAAAATTCTCTCCTAGTTATAACTTGTTTTTCTAGATTTTGCTGGGGTCATTATTAGCTACGTAATTTTTGAAAATATGAGATCCCTTGCTCAAAAATATTAAGAATTTTAAGATGGCAAAAACAACATTAAATCAAACACTGAGAGTTTCTAATCACAGACCCCTGTGCACCTTCACAAGTCATACACTCAGAAAGCCGATCCTGGCTGGGTTATAAAACAACTGCATGGGCAGATGTTGTTGGGGCAGGGGGGTGATTCTGGAACCAGGCATTTTTAGGCTTAAAGCTACACCATCTTGTAGCTGTGCCATCGTGAAAAGCTGCTAGTTGCTGGGTTAGCAAAAGAGAGACAGAATAATCACTCAAGAGCTTATCTTTATTCTTCTTGGAAGTGTCTTATGCTATTTATTTCACCTTAAAAGACGTTGGACCAAATTAGCCACAGGCTGTCTCCTAACTGAAAAGTTTCTGGGAAATATAAGAAAATAATTTTGATGGTGGTGAGCTTTGTGGTATTTGCTACAAATCTCAATGTGCACTTCTACAACTCACAAGAAGTCCTGGAAATCCACAGCCTTACCACCACCAGACTAGAGTCTCTACTACGAGGCTTATCACAGGATGTGTCAGGGAAGTATAAAACTTGAAGATAAGTAGAAAGGAGCTGAGCTATGTAGCCCTAACTCCCTTTCCCTAACTCAGCAATCTAATCATTTATTTTCTTTAAAGAGGAGTAGGCCGGGCGCGGTGGCTCACGCCTGTAATCCCATCACTTTGGGAGGCCGAGGCGGGCGGATCACGAGGTCAGGAGATCGAGACCATCCTGGCTAACACGGTGAAAACCCGTCTCTACTAAAAATATAAAAAATTAGCCGGGCGTGGTAGCGGGCGCCTGTAGTCCCAGCTACTCGGGAGGCTGAGGCAGGAGAATGGCGTGAACCCGGGAGGCGGAGCTTGCAGTGAGCCGAGATCGCGCCACTGCACTCCAGCCTGGGCGACAGAGCGAGACTCCGTCTCAAAAAAAAAAAAAAAAAAAAAAAAAAAAAAAAGAGGAGTAGATAGAGATATGCCTGGAGTATTATTCTGTGGGAAATCAATATGCATGGAAACTAAAGGCCATTGGAACATGAGATTACCTGCCAACAACTTTTCTCCTCCATGCCCCTTCTATTATCACTAGTCATGGAAGTATCAAGGACAATATGGATGATGAGGTTATTGTATTGTTTTAAGGCAATAACAGAACCTGTGGGTGAACCGGGTGCCCAACTATCTTCAGTAAAACACCTATGTGCCCAGAACCCTGAACATCCCAGAAAGGAAGAAAGGTGGGCTGCTTAATGAGTACATCTCCTAATGCACTGGCACCCCAAATACTGTTCTTTTCAAATCCCCTTTCCATAAAAAGGCTTGCAAAACTGCTGGGTTATTTTTTGTTGGTGGTGGGTTTTTGTTTGTTTGTTTTTTGTTGTTGGTTTTTTTTGTTTGTTTGTTTTGTAAAGAGTTGCTGGAGGGAGGGAAGGGGGCTGGAATTAAACAATTATTTTCACTTTTAATTTTACAGATATTTACATCTTGCTTATATAAATTAAACTTATTCAAAGAGTAGCTAAAATAAGCTTAATAACAAAGGCAGAAATTTTAGAGACAAATATAGAATTGCAATGTATAACGAAACCAAAGAAAAGTCATTGATCTATTATTTGATGTTTCAGAATATGTACATTATTCTTCTCATGTGTGGAGTGTACTTAAGCCCTGGAAATGTCTATTATGAAGATACAGCACTGGAATTTGACATAATTACATGTCTGAGTGGTAGATCAGGGTAGTCTTAACGGCACTTGATTTCAAGAGAGTTCAGATTTGGTACAGTGTTTAGATTTATAACCTTTGAAAATCACAAAATATTGCATTAAACTGTTCTAATATTTTATACAGGGTCACTTTATTCTTGCCTTGATGTGACCTTCATGTAGTTGGTTGCTTCAGAGCAGATTACTGGTTCCCAAAGGTTACATGGAATTCATCTTTCTCTATTTTACTTCCATTCTCAGTCACATTTACTATTTCACTGCAAACTTCTTTAAAGGTATGGGATTCTCTAATACTACTTGTTAATAATATGTGAATATGCTAAGTTGTTTTAAAACTTATAAGACTAGTTTTTATATATTTCGTCACCTATCACACATTTAAGCACCATACATTAGATTTAACTGCTGTTTATTCAGGTGTCATTTGAAGAACATTCATATAAATATATCTTAATGGAGAGAAGTGAAAAGCAAGTGTGTAAGGACTTCAACATAAAGAAAAGACAAATAGCACATTGTAGGATTCAGTTGCAATGGGAACAAGCTAGAGCACTTTATTTATAAGATATTCAACCATTTTTCAGTATGGCTACAATTTTCTTTAAAACATGATTACTAAATTTCCTAAAATTTACAAATAATATATAATCATCTCCTTCTTATGATAATCTTCAACTACTAGAAGTGCCTTTATTTTAAAATTAATGATAAAAAATTCTATACAAAGCAATATTTTGATCCCACTTCACAACAAAGAAAACATTCATAATGGCATTACTTGCCACTGATAATGCTATTTATAGTTTCTTATATTTGGTAAATTATTAATACTGCTGATTATGTTTATTCCAAATGTTAGCAAGTCTGTATAATTTTGCTTTTTAAAAATTTTACTAACACCTCTAATTGAAAGCTTTCTCTAATTGAAAGCTTTTTTAAAAAAATGTGTTTAAATAGTGGTAAACTATTTTTTTCCAGTTTTCTTTATTGTATCAATTTGTAGAAGTCAAAATAAAAGACACTTTTACCCAAAACGACATAAGGTAACATATATACCAATAGTCATGTCAGATAACTTACCAATATAAGCTAAATAGTAAACACTCACATGCACTGAAAATTCAGCTACTGAGAATCAAGTAGCCTTTTTTAAATGTGAAATTACAACGAACAAATGGATTATGAGGATTGAATCAACAGATTCAAAAAATGGAACACTTCTAAGTATTTGTAATACTTCAATATTTATTGAATAAATCCTATTTATATATTATTTCATCATTTGAATCTATATCTTTTTAACAAATTAGCATAGAAGAAATGAGACCATTCAGCAAAGTACTGTATGAAACATACCCTAATATGAAAAATAACATCTTTGTTATATTCATAATATCAAGGAATATATAGTTTTAGTCTGAGATCCCCACAGGCAGGAATTTAAGGCCCAGCTAAGAAACTTTCCACCCACCTCTGCCAAAATGGTAGGCGATTCTTTACTGAAGGTAGAGAGGAAGCACTATACAAAAGGGGGAGAATGTAGAAAAATAAATAAAGGTCCAAACAAAATGTACCTACTTTACATTGATTAATCCACAAATATCTACATTTGCAATAGTTGCCAATATGATATTCGAATCTTGTTTCTTGGAATATCCAAGAGTGTACAGCAACAGAATAGCAAAAGCTATTCTGTTCTTCCCTCTTGTTGCAGTGACAACAGGCTCCCTCTATATGGCTCACTTTTTGGCCATAGTTGTAATAAAAGCTATAAAATTTACTCTTCTGTTTTTATTTTTAACCTAAATGTGTTCTGTGAATTAATTCACTGGTCAAACATATTTTATCACAGTCTACCACAAAGATACAAAAATCTTGTGGCAACTTCTTAGATGTACATTCTTCCAACTGTGATTAAAAATATATATTTTTAAATATATATGTAATATAAATATATATTTTAAAATATATGTAATATAAATATATATATTTAAATATATATTTTTTAAATATGTAATATAAATATATATATTTTTAAATATATATGTAATATAAATATATATATTTAAATATATGTAATATAAATATATATATTTAAATATATATGTAATATAAATATATATATATTTAAATTTTGACAGAGTCTTGCTCTGTCACCTAGGCTGGAGTGCGGTGGCGCCATCTCTGCTCACTGCAACCTCCACCTCCCGGGTTCAAGCGATTCTCGTGCTTCAGGCTCCTGAGTAGCTGGGACTACAGGCCCAGGCTACCATGCCTGGTTAATTTTTGTATTTTCAGTAGAGACGGGGTTTCACCATGTTGGCCAGGCTGGAATTGAACTCCTTGCCTCAAGTGATCCACCCATCTGGGCATCCCAAAGTGCTGGGTGATTTTTTTTTTTTGGCGGCGCATTTTTACTTTTATCACGGACAACGTGGCCCCTTCCACACCCACAAATCAGTGCTGTCCAAGCCCCACCCAGGAGCCCCTGTCCAGCCACTGCTCTCCGAGGGCTTCGCCCAGGCTTCCGTCACATTATCACTCTCCAGGACGCACGGCAGCTCTTCCACTCTTACCTGAGGTTGTGTTATAAAAGCACATGCTGGTTGTAAACACCTCCAACAACGCAGAAATGAGCAAGGGGAAAGTGGAACTTGCTGTGGACGTGGCCACAGGACCACACTTTTGTTCCTGTTGGAATGCTTGGGTCGGTTTCACAAGTCGCCTCACAGTCTTGCAGGCTGAACCCGTCTGTCTGGGCGCCTCGCGCTGCCTACCTCCTGGGGCGACGTGGACGGATGCGCTCTTGTCTCAGCTTTGGTGTGTGCAGTGAGGAGTCTGCACCAAGAATGGTCCATCAATGAGGGAGAGTACTACCCGGGGTGGGGGGGCTTCCATGCCTCCCATAATGGGCACTTCCTGACTTTCTGCAGGAAATGCTGTCCTTGAGTCATTCTGTTTTGTCCTGAGGCTGCTGCGAGGAGGGGGATAGGTAAGCACATGCTGGAGGCTTCGGTCCAGGCACAGCAGCAGGTTCCAGCTGCCCTGCTTTCTGCTTTCCCTGGCTGGAGAAGAGCAGCCCCCAGCAGGCTGCGGGCACAGTCCCAGCTCACGCACGACCTAGAGCGCACTGCAGGGCCCCAGCACCCCGCCTTAATTTTCACCCTTGTCCCTCCTGCTTTCCAGCTTCGGCGTCCTTGTTAAAAGGAACTCGAACCACAAAGTTATAAACACGACACCTGCATTCCCTTCCAATCCTTCATGGTTTTTTTTTTTTACACACAAAGCTTACAACCTTTACTTTTTCCAAATGGAAAAACAGTTTTTCCAACACTTTTTAAAAAACAAATTATCCTTTTATCATATGCTGAAAGCCCTACCAATAACAAACCCACTTCTGCGTCTGACTCTGTTCACTGACCCTTCATTTACTTCGTAAACCGACCCTTTTGGTAACTTTCAGTAAAGAGGTAGCTTTAATAAATACATTCTCCAGAAATCTCCAGAACCTTTGTGTGGGTCAGGGTGAGAGGTGCCCCCACGATATAAACAGAACAGCTGAGTCCTCCAGGTAGGTGCCAGGTGCGATCTGCACAAGGCCGCGTGTGTGGGAGGCATGGAGTCAGAGGCGCTTACTCAAAATGCAACCCTTGTCTCCAGCAGAGCACACAGGCCTCAGAGCCCCGTAGACAGGGCTGGTCCTAGCGGATTCACGCCACTTCCTGGGCTTGGGGGATGGTACGCCAGAGGCTGCCCACAGCAGGAAGCCCATGCAGAGGCCAGGGCTTCTTGTCCCACTCGGCAGAGACCCCAGAAGGAGCCGGGGGCAGCATCAGAGCCTGGGGCCTGGGCAGGGGTGCCCGAGAGCACAGCAGCTGCAGGCCATTGGGAAGGCCAGAAGACAGGGAATGGAAAGCCAGGGACGCATGGAGTGACTCAGAGAAGGGACTATTCAGCTGGGAGTCCTGCATTTGCCCTTTGTGTTTCATCCGGGGATTTTGAAACCAGGTTTTTATCTGGACCTCCCAGAGCTGCATCTCCCTGGCCAGCCTCTTCCGCTCTTGAGAGCCCAAGTACTGGTGGTACCGGAAGACGGTCTCCAAGGCGCGGAACTACTCAGTGGTGAAGGCTGTGCGGACACTGGGGGCCCGCCAGGGGTTTGGCCCCTTACTCAACCCAACCACGGTCCTCTCCGGCGCAGGCCGATTTGAGGACCTAGACTCCTTGATGCTGACGGCCTGAGGGGGCTCCCGGGTGCCGGATATCTGACACAGGCCAGGGAGGCTCCCCTGGGAGACCTGGCAGGCCTGGAGGTGTGAGTCGGCTCTGAGCAGCTGCTCTGGGAGAGCCAGTCCACGGAGCCAAAGCTGGAGGGCAGCTGCCGGCCACAAGTTGGGGAGGAGGAGAGACGCAAGGCCGTCAGGTGGGCCGGAGGGAAGGCTGGGCGGGGCTGGCCAGGCGCAGGATCTACCTGGGTGATTTTTTTAATCTATAAAATAATATTTGCTTTTAATTTTTAATGTTACTATGTTGTCAATATATTGTAAAGCTTAAACTCTTTTTCCTTAAGACCACGTAATTTGAGTTTTTTTTAATTTTTGCCAATTAAAAGTGAGATTACTTTGATTTAATTTCTTGTGATAATATTTATTTATGGCCTGGCGCGGTGGCTCATGCCTGTAATCCCAGCGCTTTGTGAGGCTGAGGTGGATTTCTTGAGGTCAGGAGTTCTAGACCAGCCTGGCCGACATGGTGAAACCCTGTCTCTACTAAAAATACAAAAATTAGCCGGGCGTGGTGGTGCGTGCCTGTAATCTCAGCTAATTGGGAGGCTGAGGCACGAGAACTGTTTAAACCCAGGAGGTGGAGGTTGCAGTGAGCTGAGATTGCACCACTGCACTCCAGCCTGGGCAACAAAGTAGTTCTGTTTCCCCCCAAAAAATATATATATAATTTTTTTATAATGCTGGCACTAAATGGTGGTTGCAATATGTATAACTGTCAAGCAGATGGCATATTTTAAACCTACAAAATACATTTACTTCATGTGTCTAATTATATTAGACTGGTTGATGTGACAACAGAAAACAGAAGATAAATTCTGTAAATTGGGGTCACTTATAACAGTGATGAACATCTACTAAACTAAATTCTCACATCTGTGTCTACAAGATACAGTTTTGGAGGATGGGATAGAAAACAATTTTTGACATAGAACATACAAACTCTTTAAACTTGACACTTTTATAGTATGATTTCTACTACCTTGCGTATAACAAAACTCTAAAGTGTGTGAATTTTCAGAAGTAACCACACATGGCATTTTCCTTTAAATTTCTTCTTACATTGAGGGGTTTCTGTCATCTTCAAAAACACTAGAATGGAGATCTCTTACAACAAGTAACTGATCACTCAGTTGGCTAAAGTCCAGATTGAGGGTCAGGTGTGGTAGCTCACACCTGTAATTCCAGCAATTTGGGAGGCTGAGGTGGGAGGATTGCTTGAGGCCCAGAGTTCGAGACTAGCTTGAGCAACATAGCAAGATCCTGTCTCTGTCTCTACACTCACACACACACACACACACACACACACACGAGACCAGATATTGTGATCTGGTTCAGAGCCATTGTTTCCAATTATACACCCTTCCCTTTTGTTTAAGAGTATTTAAAAGAAACCCAGCAACTTCCAAAAAAAAAAAAAAAAATCCCAGGAGGAAGAACCACAGATCCTCAGTTGGGTTCATTGTTAGCATCCCTGAAATATCTTGCAAAGGAACTTATTGGAAGTTTACTCCCTCCTTAGTTCTTTGAATTGCTTCTCCCAACTGTACAATATACATCAATGGTACAGCTTCTGGAGAAGAAACTTTCTTCCTAAAAACAGACGGTAACTACATCATTGAAGCAGACAATCATGTATGTGTAATTTTGTAGTTATTTTATTTTTATATATTTTTAAAAGAAGAAAAGTAAAAGGATATAAAAACTAGCTGGTCACATGTTTTGAGTAACATTTCCTTCCCCTTATACTCAGGGTCAGCTTGCATTCCATTTGATTAACATTGATTTGATATTTTTGTCTTTAGAATTGATTTAGATAAATAGGTAGGATGTCAATATTAGGAGATTTCCTCCTCAGTAAGCTGCTTGCCTTCTCTATACAATGTGTTATGACATTTCAATTTGGGTGATAACAATCTAGAATCAAAGCAGCTGTTTAATCTTCATTCATAGCCACTTTGTGGGCAGTGGCAATTGTCACCACTCCCATAAAAATTCTGGAAGATGTGACACTAAGTAAGATGATAATCAATACCACTTTCCCAGGATTCAAAAGCATTAAGGACTATGTGAAAATAGCAGGATTTTGACAATATTTAATGAAGTCTTTTCTCTACAGCAGTAGACATTATCAGAGAAAGAATATCAATGATATGTACTAATTTGTGTTATATATAAAAGAATGATATTTGGGTAAGTTACAAATGAGTAAACTGTAATTATGGACAAATTTGGTCATGGTAAATAATTTGCCTAATTTTCTTCCCTTCAATTAAAATTTTGTTTTATTAAATATACGGATGTTAATCTAAGTATATTGTTAAACAGTAAGAAATAGGGTCTATAACATTGATGTAGAAAATGCTTGTGTATATGACAGCGTGCCTATTATGTGTTTTCTTAAACTTAAAGCATAGCAACTTTTTGAGAGAAATTTTTAGCCTAATTTTGCAGATGTGAAAACTGAAGTACAGAGCTTGAGAAAATCATTGTCAAAAAGAAGCAGGAATTAAGCTTCTGTTTGACTTATTCCAAGTCCCACCCAAGGACCATGCAAAGCCTTAAAGCTTCTTAACTAAGCACCGGAGAGAGAGAGAGAGAAAAAAAAATAGTGTTGTACTCTTACCTCCAGGCAATACAGCCAGTGTTTTCTCTACTTGCTCTCAGTATTTTTGTGAAAAGATTTACTCATGATTCTCAAGCAATTTCAATGAAAGCCCAACTGCTTCAAAAATTTTTATGTCAGCACTAAATAACAAAAGTCTTAAAAAGCAATTTTAGAATCACATTGATATAGTAAATAATCATTGTGCTTACAGGCTGATAGGGTCTGAAACCAGGTATGTTTTATGTATAGCAATACTTTTCACCAGTCACGTGGAACTAATCATCAGGTGTGAAGTTAAGCTGACTTATGGCAAAACACATGCAGACTTCTATGTAAAAAGGAAAAAAGCACAAATCAAAGGAAAATTAGTGGTGAGCTAGAAACAGCCTTATCTTTGAATTATCTAATTTATGTGACTTATGTCTTCCATCATATTTTTCAGTAATATAGCTTTTTGAAGTGAATTGCCTTTTGGGGCAAGAGGAAATAAATGAGTAGATGAATAAAGGAAAAATGAGGTACTGAAGAAGAATGAAGACTTTCTAATATATCTTCTACCACGTATATAGCATGAGTACTTACGTAGTTAACTCTGCTCCTAATCCTAAGCAATATCAAGGTTTATTGTTTAATACTAAAGATGAAATAATACTTGAAGTTACACAAAATGTCATATATTGCAAGTATCATGATTACTGTCATTTAAATAAATTGTAAATCAACCTTCTTCTTGTTGCTGAGACAGAAATTTAGCTGCTGTGAAATACTGGGATCTTCCTGCTTTTCCACTAAACCATTATTGTCTTTTATATTCTAAAATCTATCATATGAATTATTGCCAAAATAATAAAGAACAAAGAATCGCTGCTGCAGAGAAAATCCTCTGGGAATTTCTCACAGGCAAGGTATTTCTCTTTTTCTTTTCTAAGGACACACAAAGATTCCTTAAAGCAGGAGTAAGCAAACTTTTCCTTAAAGAGGTAGATAGCAAATATTTTAGAATTTTGCTGGCCACTCAGTCTCTAGAGAGTCACAAGTACTAAACTCTCCAGTTTGTCTCAGAAAAGCAGCTATAAATATATGTAAAGAAATAGCAAGTCTGGGATCCAATAACCTTTTATTTACCAAAACAGGCCAGAGTTGGTCCACTGATTCTAGTTTACTGACTGATGCCATATAGGGTAGGTTCATCCTACCTTCCATTTGCCCGGAATAGCCCATTGGAAATTTTTAAAAAGTATTTCCAAATCATAGTAATCTGCCTTTGTCTTTACTCCCCTTTTAGAATGAAATCTCTTCAAAATTAAAGCTTACTCATTCTTCAAATTCCGCCTGAAATCCACCACATCAGAGAACTCCAGAGAGTATGATATTTCATGCATACTAGACTATCATAAACTATTTCATGCATTATGCCATCTTTTATCTTGCTGACTTATAGCACAATAATGCTCTAAGCGTGAAAAAGAGAGAGGCTAAATAATTTTCCATGATCAAATGAGGAAAAAGCAACAGTAAATCCAAACTCTTTTGAATTCTATTTTGGTGGTCTTTATTAAGCTATTAACAATCTTATCATTACAAAAGAATACTTAGGAACATAGAGGTCAACATTCCATCAAGCACAAAAATCCCCTCTAGTTGTTAACTAGCAATTGATATCCAGCTTTAATATTTCCAATCATAAGAAAATAACTAGAGATGTGCCTTGATTTACAAATAGCTTGTTTTTTAAAAGGACCTTTGTGAATGCATTTCTTATTAAGCCAAATGACATTATAAAATTACTTGCTAATGGATGCAGAGTTGCTGAAATGGTGAATGTTTGTCCCTATTAATAAAAACTGGAAGTAGAACGAAAAATAACGAGCTTCAATACCTCCTGTGGAAATTTATCCACGATTGGACAGGTCTAAATGCTATTTCTTTTTTTTTTTTTTTACTATAAGTTTTAGGGTACATGTGCACAACGTGCAGGTTAGTTACATATGTATACATGTGCCATGTTGGTGTGCTGCACCCAGTAACTCGTCGTTTAACATTAGGTATATCTCCAAATGCTATGCTATTTCTTATAGTGAACAAAACTATCTTTTCTGTAATATTTACTTTTCTGCTACAGATTTACTTTCACAGTGTCTTCTCCCCCTTTTCTGTGACTAATCTTCATATATTGAAGAAAAAGTTGTCATGTATTCTCTAAGAATTTTTAAAGGACTGTAACCACACTAGAATCGTGATTTTTTTTTTCTCCATAGCATATGATTCCAGGAAAACTTCCAACAACTCACGTGTACATATGTCACTCTTAAAATATGATGTTTTCATGGTAGCAAGTGGTCTGACTAGCAGGAAACAGTGAGACTTGTCTTTCATGCCTTGTGAACTTGAATTTCCTTAAAATAGACTGTGCCAATGATAGACTCCCTTGATAAATCTGTTAGTAGTTTACATATATTCCTTGTGTTTCAAGTAGATTTTCAGTAAGTTAAAAGCAGAAATAACTCATTCATGTTACAATGAATTCTTACATAAACTATTTCCTCTTATTTCCTGGTCAGTTGAGTATTCAATGGAGGCTTGAAACTCACACTATAATGTGGAATTCTACGCGATTTAACATCTTATGTTGTCACTAATAATACTGCATAGTTGAACGTCTTAGGCTTAATTTCCTAAATTAGTGGATCTCTCTTTAACAAAGGAAAGATTCTTTCATGAGTAGTGAAGTCCCTGAAAAAAAAAGTTTGAAAAGTTCTTTTTGAAGTCTTAGCAGTAAAGTCAAAGACATGACAGGGTACTGTGCATTTAGACGTATATTTTCACTAGCTTTTGCTGGGATAAGCACTCTCTGGAAGAAACTCTCAGAATGCCAAAGGTTGAAACTGCTTCCAGCTTGTTTTTATACATAGTCATGGATCTCACCATTTGTGATCTAAAGTTCTGAGAATAGACTCTAAAGCTGGTGATCAGCAGTGAAAGAGAGCTTAAATATATCAGTTTCTTATTTGTTTATGTTAAATAAGCAAGAGAAGAAAGTTTAAAGATATCAGTAATATAGCAATTGAGACTCCATTTAATTTGTTCCACATAGAGTCAGCATTTTTGCTTAATTTAAATGTTTTGAATCTATTTAATTTTTAAATTAGATTTATCTTTATAAATATTGTTTTTAAATTATTGTGAGAGCACAGAAGAGGAAAATCATGTGTGACAGACAGATGTTTAGGCAAAACCAAACAAAAACAAAAACACATGGGTAATATATCTGATTCTATCAGTGTTGCAAGACTTTCTCATCAAGCTATTTATCTAGTGATCTGCAAATGGGCATGGCATTTTCTAAGCCTTCCAAATCAGTGTGATGCAGCCTAAGAGCTACCACATCAAGGCTCTTATCTATAGGATAAGCCGACTAAACTCATTTGCAAGCCCTGACTTTTTCCTTCTATTCTCATCTTGAGTGGCTCATTAACTTGGAGTAGTAGTATCAGTGTATCAATGAGCTGGTTAAAGGCTGTCAGCATGAACTTAGATTTCAAAGTGGATGTGACTGAAGCAGTGACTGTCATTTTCATATAGCAACCATTCTGTGGAATTTGATGATCTCCAGATTAGGAGCAGAACAGGGATTTTCTGAAAAATGTGTGCCTATAGACAGCAGCTTCAGTCATATCCAAGAGTTCCAAGTTGTTGCTGCTGATGGCGTACCTTATGGTTGTGAAACTTGCCTAACCAGCCTCCAAAATAAGTGAATTCCTTTCAAGGTATACATTCCTTATGAGTCCTGTTTCTCTAACTGAACCCTGACTAATACATTTATTAATGTGACAGAGGTAACAATGCATGACTCCAAATGTTATGTCATAAAAGGTGAAACAGCTTCTGTTTGGCTTTCAGATGCTTGTCCTGGAAACCAACCATGAGCTGTGATGAAATCCAGGCAACTGAGTTGTGTTTCAGCCCAAAGCAGCAAATGGAATCCAGGTGACTGACATCATTATCTATCAGACATGTGAGAGAACTCCTTAGAATGATGTTACTCATTATCTGCAACCACATGAGAAACCCGGAGCAAGAACCACCCAGCCAAGGCCAATCTCTAGAACTTTGAAAGATAATCATAAATAAAGGTGTCGTTTTACACTATTGTTTACACTACTCTGTGCTTTTCACACAGCAATACATATCAGTTACAGACTGCATTTATATTTTGTTAAAATCACAAATTTGGAACCACATTTTCACAATTTGCTTTCTTACGTGATTCTAAGTTACGGATTTCCACAATAGATATGTTAACAAGATTTGGAAGAAAGGAGTTAAGCGGCAGTCTTGTTTATGCTTGGAAAATCAGACTAGAGTGAGATGCTCTTACAAGTCACATATTTTAATGTGGATCTACTGGCTCACGTCATTGGCTAGAGGCAGTAGCTAGCCCACAACAGCTTTAGATTCTGCCAGATCTCCTTGGGACTGCAGCCAGACCCAGAGCTCCTTCAGCTTCCATTTGATCTCTTTCTTCAGTTTCCCTGGATCCTAGACCACACTTACATGAAACTCTGTAGAGAAGTACCTCAGCTATACTGCAGGCCCCCCATACAAACAAAATTGTAGGCTGGAGACAATGAGAGACTAATATAGCTTTATGTGATGGACAAATTTCAGTTTATCCTCATGGGTTTCAGCTCATTCTCAAATACTCTACTTTGTCTTTCTTCTCTCTCACTTTATTTCTATTTTTCCTTTCTAGCTTCAGGACCATCATCTGACATAGGGGAAGAAGACTTACATAGAAGGCCTAACCAGCACCCAAGATCATGTAAGGTTTAAACTTTATAATATATCCATTTTGTTTCTCATAGTTCTCCTTTTCTCATCAAATCAGAACTGATAACAGTGATCCATATTTTGAAACCCAGTGTCCTGTCTGAAGTTTCTGCTTTCAATGATTCCCAGTGTCTTAGTTCAGGCTGCTATAATGAAAATACCATACACTGGGTAACAGAAACAACAAACATTTTTTTCTCGCAACTCTGGAGACTGGCAAGTGTAAGATCAATCAAGGCACTGGAAGATTTGGTATCTGGTGAGGGCCCACTTTCTGGTTCATAGATAGCCATCTTCTGGCTGTGTCCTCACATGGTAGAAAAGGAGAAAGAATTCCCTGGGGTCTTTTTTATAAAAAGGGCACAAATCCCATTCATGAGGGCTCCACCGTCACAAACTAATCACCTCCCCAAGGCCTTACCTCCTCATACTGTTACATTGTGGGTTAGGATCTCAACATATAAATTTGGTGAGAACACAATTGGTCCTCAGCAACCAGTCTCAATCATGCCTCTGTTCACTAACTTCTTTCTATGTTTTGAAACTCAGATGTGAAATAGACCCCCTTTTCTTGAGTTTTTTTATAGTCACTGTTCGTTGAATATTTCATTGAAGTTCTCAACCAGTGGAGAAGTTTTACATTGAAGTATAATGTAAAATGTATTTGGCCACTTTCTTTTTCGCATTTTTTGTTGTCCACCTGCCTTTGCACCCTCCATCCTCCAGGCACTTTGCTCAGTTCTAGACTATCTCTAAGACTGTGATTACCTGTCTATGTTTTTCTGTTTCTCCAGATACTCCTTACCCCTGAATCCTAATATATCTATTTTCCTCACTTTGTACTTCAGAACCATTCCTTTCTCCCCTTAATATCTGTATGTAAAGATGCTAGAAGTACTTGTCATCTTTTAGTAGCATAGAAAAGCTGAAAGAATATTGAAATTGAAATATGAATGTTTTATAATTCTCCAGATTGTTTCTTATGATTATATGTTTGAAAATTTCAAATATAGAAAAATATATACATATTTTTAAATCGGGAATCTATTCATTTAATAAATTGCTACTGAGTACCTTCTATGTATCAGACATTGTTCCAAATGTTGGTGAGGCGATGAACTGAACAAACATTTCGCTCTCATGCAGCTTATCTCCTAGTGGCATGTGTGAGTGTAGATAGATGATAAAGTATAGTTTATATATTATATCCATTGGGGACCACTTCTATGAATATAATTAAAGCAGGATAAGAACAATAATGAAAGACTTATTTTGTACAGGGTGGTCATGAAAGATTTCAACAATAAAGATGTATTTGAGCAGAGACTTAACAGGAGGGACGAAACAAGCCATGCAGCTATTTCACTGAAGAGTATTTTAGGTAAACTAAACAACAAGACTATCCATGAAACTCAAAAGCAGAGTAAGTAAGTAGAAAGGTGGCAAAAGTAGAGTCATGGAAATATGGGGAGGCAGGGTTACAGCAAATAGGGACACTTTAACAGCAAGGACTTGTATTCGGAGTGTGATGGAAAGTCAAAAATCTTTGAACAAAAACTATGATTTCACTGATTTAGTATTTTTTGTTTTTAAGATTAAATCACAGAATTAAGAATCACAGGCAGAAGCAAGGAAAAAAATTCTGAATTCTCATTACCTCTAAAATTATTTACTTAGGCAATAAGTAAATGTAAGCTTAGTGTAGGATAGAACTTTTTTGTGTTTTGCTTGCTGTTGGATCCTCAGAAGCTAGGGTAAATTATTATACAATAAATGCTCAATAAATATTTTCTGTGTATTGGCTTATACCAGACCAATCAATCTTGGCCAAGGTGAGTATTTATAAACATGGCTGCAACATTTGAACAGCTTAAAGTTGTTCATAATATTATTTATTACTATTTTAATGTCTGTAATATCAGTAGCGATGATTCCTTCTTCATTTTTGGTATTAGAAATTTTTATCCTATTTATTTTTTCTTAGTTAACCTGGCTAAAGGTTTATCTATTTTATTGATCTTTTCAAAGAACCAGCTGTTCAATTTGTTAATTTTCTCTCTTGATTTCTTATTTTTTTATTTCATTGATTTCTGCTCTAATTATTACTTTTTCCCTTCTGTTTAAACAGGTCTTCTTTCTTTAGTTTCATAAGATGGAAACTTGGGTCATTTATCTTAGACCTTTGTATGTATTCAGTGCTATTAATTTGCCTCTAAGCACTGTTTCTGTGGCATCCCACAAATGTTGTTTTATTTTCATTTTCATATTAGTTCAAAATATTTTTTAACATCTCTGGCACTATCTTCTTTGCATTATGTTGTATTTAGAAATACATTGTTTAATCTCTAAATATTTCTAAATTTTTCAGCTATTTCCAGTCACCTATAATTTCTAGTTTAATTCTAGTGTGGTCTGGTACATACTTTTTATTTCTATTTTTTACATTTGTTCAAGTGTATTTATCTCGGTTAATATTCCATATAAGCTTGAGAAAAATGTATATGCTGCTGTTATTGGATGAGGTATTCTGCAAACATCAATTCGATCTGCTGATTAATTGTGCGGTTCAGTTTGAAAGTATCACTGTTGTATTAGGGTTCTCTTGGACAGAACTAATAGGATATATATGTATATATGTATATATATCCTATTAGTTATCGTATATATCTTACATACATATATATAGAGGAGTTTATTAAGTATTAACTTACATGATCACAAGGTCCCACAATAGGCTGTCTGCAAGCTGAGGAGCAGAGAGAGCCAGTTCCAGTCCCAGAACTGAGGAACTTGGAGTCCAATGTTTGAGGGGAGGAAGCATCCAGCATGAGAGAAAGATGTAGGCTGGAGAGGCTAAGCCCATCTCTCCTTTTCAGGTTTTTCTGCCTGTTTTATATTTGCTGCCAGCTGATTAGATCATGCTCACCAGATTAAGGGTGGATCTGCCTTCCTCAGCCCACTGAATCAAATGTTAATACCTTCTGGCAACACCCTCACAGACACACCCAGGATCAACACTTTGTATCCTTCAATCCAATCAAGTTGGTACTCAGTATTAATCATCACAAGTCCATCTCTTGTGAATTTGAACAAATACATATCTCCTGAGATCATAAATAATCTTCAAATAAAGACAATAATAAAGTCATAATTATACCTAACGTAATACCTATCCTTCGTACAACCTGAAACTCACCAATCCCCAACCCAAATACTATTACATAAAGTTAAAAATACTTAAATGCTGATATGAAGTCAATAAATCTTATGTCACATGATAAAGGAAAAGGAAATAAAATGAATATCTTAGTACAAGTGTATACATGCACAAACACATCTTTAACAAAAGAAGGAGGAAATACTCATGACAATTACAGTCCTTGTTTCTGCAGCTGGTCACATGGTTGTAGCTGGTATTGATGACTACCTTCTTCAACTACCCATTCTGTATGCCCTTTGCCTTCAGCAAGCACCTCAGCAGGTTGTGTTTTTTTTCCTGGTGGAGTAACCCAAACCTTCATTCCTGAAGAGCCTGGGCCATTTGTAGTCCTGCCTGGATTGGGCTGTTGTAGTTTCCCATTGACCTTAATCACAGGGCATGGTAATACTAAGAGACACCCTAATGGATCTTTGTATTCCATGCATACTCTTCCTTACCTCCATTGTGGAGTAGTAGACTGATTTCATCTTGATAGTCAGGGGTCAGTCACCCCAGCCAACACTGTAACTCACTTCTTAGCCTGTTGACTTAAAGGTAGGAGGAGCCCAAAGTGTCCAGGTGGCAATCTTAACTTCCAGTTTTATGGAATAATTGTTGTGTCTCCTGGTGGCAGCATTCCTCACTCTGGAACTAAGACCTCTAGGCCAGCAGAATGTAATGTCACAGGAATAGGAAGTAAAAATTTTGCTAGTGGATCACTAGGGGTGATAGTGAGTGGTGCCACTTCCACTTCCACCCCTTGATTACTGGACCTGTAAATCCTGGCTATGGGAGAAACAGTACCATATACTGGACGCTGATTCAGAGCATACACAGCCTTCTGGAGAACTTTGTCTAAACCTGCAAAGTATTGTCACCTAGTTGGAGTTGTAATTGTGACTTCAAAAGGCCATTTCACTGTTCTGTCAATCCAGCTGCTTCCAGATGGTGGGGAACATGGTAAAACCAGTGAATACCATGAGGATGAGCCCAGTGCTGCACTTCTTTAGCCATAAAGTGAGTGCCTTGGTCAGAATTTCTATGCTGTGTGGAATACTATAGGTAAGGCATTCTGTGAGTCCACGGATGGTAGTCTTGGCAGAAGCATTGCATGCAGGATAGGCAAACTCATATCTGGAGTAAGTGTCTATTCCAGTGAGTACAAACCTCTGCCCTTTTCATGATGGAAGAGGTCCAATATAATCAACATGCCACCAGGTAGCTGGCTGATCACCCTGAGGAATGGTGCCATATCAAGGACTCAGTGTTGGTCTGTGCTGCTGGCAAATTGGTCACTCAGCAGTGGTCATAGCCAGGTCAGCCTTGGTGAGTGGAAGTCCATGTTGCGGAGCTACTGTGTAACTTCTATCCCTGCTACCATGGCCACTTTGTTCATCGGCCCATTGGGCAATGACAGGCGTGGCTGGGGAAAGAGACTGAGTGGTGTCCACAGAACGGGTTATCCTATCCAGTTGATTATTAAACTGCTCCTCCGCTGAGATCACCTCTTGGTGAGCACTCACATGGGATACAAATAACTTCACAGTTTTCAACTACTCAGAGAGGTCCATCCACATACCTCTTCCCCAAATTTCTTTCTCACCAATTTTACAATCATGCTTCTTCCAGATCTCTGACCATTCAGCCAAACCATTGGCTACAGCCCATGAATCAGTATATAATCACATATCTGGCCATTTCTCCTTCCATGCAAAGTGTACACCCAGGTGCATGGCTTGAAGTTCTGCCCACTGGAAAGATTTCCCTTCACCGCTGTCCTACAGGGATGTCATAGAATGGGGCTGTAGTGCTGCAGCTGTCCACTTTCGGATAGTGCCTGCGTATCGTGCAGAACCATCTGTGAACTAAGCCCTAGTCTTCTTTTCTTCTGTCAACTCCCCATGATCATAGAGAAATCCCCATGAGGCCTTCAGTGCAGGCTGAGGGAGAGAAGGCAGGGTGGCAGGACTGGATACTATGGGTGTTAGAACCACTTCCTCAGGTAACTTTTTGTGCCTTCAGGACCTGCTCAAGCCCCATCACATATATATCACTTCCATTTAATGATGGAATGCTGTTGTGCATGGGTCATTCATGGCTAGATGGGTCAGAAAGCACCCAGTTCATAATAGGAAGTTTAGGTCGCATGGTGATTTGATGATCCATAATCAAATGTTCAGTTTCCACAAAAGCTCAGTAACAGGCTAAGAGCTATCTCTGAAAAGGAGAGTAGTTATCTGCAGAAGATGACAGGGCCTTGCCCCAAAATCCTAGGGGCCTCTGCTGTGATTCACCTATGACAGCCTCCAAAGGCTCCAAACAGCATCTCTTTCTGCCACTGACACCAGAAGCAGCATTGGATCTGCTGAGTCACATGGCCCAAGTGGCAGAGAAGCTTGCACAGCAGCCTGAACCTGTTGCAGAGCTTTCTCCTATTCTGCACCCCACTCAAAACTGGCAACCTTTCAGGTCACTTGATAAATGGGCCAGAGTAACACACCTGAATGAGAAATGTGTTGTCTCTAAAATCCAAATAGGCTACTAGGCATTGTGCCTCTTTCTTGGTTGTAGGAGGGGCCAAATGCAGTAACTTATCCTTCACCTTAGAAAGAATATCTTAATAGGCTCCACACCACTGGACCCCTAGAAGTTTTACTGATAGAAGTATACCGAATTTTAGTTAGATTTATTTCCCATCCTCTGGCCAGCAAACGTCTGACCAGTAAGTTTAATGCATTGCTACTTCTTGCTCACTGGATCCAATCAGCATAATATCATCAATGTAATCGACCAGTGTGGTATCTTGCAGAAGTAAAAAGTGATCAAGGTCTCTCTGAATAAGATTATGATGCAAAGCCAGAGAGTTCATATACCCCTGAGGTAGCACAGTAAAGGTATATTGCTGTGCCTTCAGTGGCCTTGCCAGCTGAAGGCAAATTGCTTCTGGTGGGCCATATGGACAGGAATAAAGAAAAAGGCATTTGCCAAGTAAATGGCTGCATACCAGGTACCAGAAGATGTGTTAGTTTGCTCAAGGAGTGAAACCACATCTGGTACAGCAGCTGCAACTGGAGTCATCACTTTGTTAAGCTTATGATAATCCACTGTCATTCTCCAAGATCCCTCTGTCTTCTGCACAGGCCAAATAGGAGAGTTGAATGGGGATGTGGTGGGAAACACCACCCCTGCATCTTTCAAGTCTTTGATAGTGGCACTAATCTCCGGAATCCCTCCAGGGATGTGATATTGTTTTTGATTTACTATTTTTCTAGATTGAGGCAGCGCTAGTGGCTCCCAGTTGGCCTTTCGCACCATTCCTGTCCATAAGGCCCACCAGAAGCAATTTGCCTTCAGCTGGCAAGGCCACTGAAGGCATAATAGCCCTCACCCTGCCAGTCAGGGAGCCAATGTGGGGGATCTGTCAGCTGCTAAGTATGTCTATGCCAATTATGCATTCTGTCACTGGGAAAATGACCAAAGAATGAGTCCAGGGACCCACTGGACCCAC